>NC_000015.10:92350369-92501884 GCF_000001405.40 Homo sapiens
GCTGGCTTGGCCTTGATGTGGACAGGAACTGTGAACCATGAGGCAAATGAATGTCAGCAGTGTGCCCAGAGGCTGGATCCATGGAATGGGAACCAACAGCTGAACTGTGCATGCTTACAGCTGACATCAACGCAGAGGCAATGGGCCAGGTGTACAGACCGGGGAGGAACTGCAGCTGGAGTATGTCTGTATCTTCACACGGTATCTCTAAGGTCTAGCCTTTGCTAATCTTCATTCTTGGATATCTCTTCATGGTTTTCAAAGTGCTCTTCTGTAGGCATAATGGCCTTATCTCAGCCTCAAACCAATCTGTGATGAAAAAAGATTTGTATCCACATCCCCACGCATAACCCACATCTTTTTTTCTGCTTTTTTAATCAATGAAGAAACTGCCTCAGAGAGAAGAGAAAGTGACAGACCTGGGAGGGTACCCGGGTCTTCTGACTGGGGGAACAGCATGGAATAAGAGGCAGAGAGAGAGTTTTAGGGTCTGGTTCATCTAGATTCAAACCTGGCCTCTCACGAGCTGGGGCACCTTCAGCAAGTTATTTGACTTTTGCAAGCCCGCATCTCTTCATCTGTAAAATAGAGATAATAGTATCTAATTCAGAGTGTAGAAATTAAATAAATTAATATATGTAAAGTGCCTAGTTGTCCATAAATGTTATTTTTCTTTTTCCTTCTAGACCAGTAGTTTTTCCATTGTACTGGATCAATTTCAGAGATTTGTGGTATGGGAGTGAAAAAGGAAATTGTTTCTGGCATTCTCAGCCTTGTGCTCTCCACGTTTCCATTGTGGTCATGGAAACTCAAGCCAAGGCTGCGCCATAGTGGGAATGCCTGGGGTATGTTCTGGATGACCCTCTGCCAGGTTTAGACAGTTCTCCCAGCTCTAACGCTGTTTAATTCAGCAAGAAAACATCCATACCTTTGAATAATAAATCCTCTGTGACAGTGTAACATCAGTATGTAGCCATCTCATATGATTTTGACAAAATTTTCATGAAAATGTGGGACTCTGTAAATGTGGGACTCTTTATTGAGTATGATCAAAGCCAGCTCCACGGTTCCCAATGGACAGCTGTGCTCGTAATCTCACAGCACAACACCTTCTTGCACTTGGCCCTCATTAGCCCATACCTCTGGAGGAGCTAGAGGGTCAGGTTCAGGAAAAACTGTGAGAATTTGACATGCTCCCATTTCTCATACCGGAAAATCTTGCGTCATCTCAGAGAGACGCTGGCTCCCTTGTTCTCAAACTCACATAAAATACCTTTCCATAATTGGGGTTTCTATGCAGCAATGTGCTGGTAAATGTTTAACTGTGGGATCTCTAGAAAAAAAAATCTGATTTGTAGCATTTGCCAATTTCACGATGTAAACACTCTCATCATGGCTGATTTCAAGCTACTGTCATGAGGCAATTGAACATGGAGTTAGGAAATAGGTACCCAGTTTTCATGGGCTGGGAAGAGCTGGCTCTATTCTGCTAAATTCACTTACATTATCTCATTTAATCTTATCAAAAATCCTAGGAGTTAGGCATTATTATTTCCATTTTATAGAACAGGAAATCGAGGCATAGAGAAGGAAAGTAACCTGGTAAGGTTACAGAGGTCTTAAGCGGAGCTGGGATTTGAAGCCAGGCCTGTTTGATCCCAGTGGCATCCCTATCAAACACTACACTATATCCAGTCTCCTTGTTTACATTGCCTGGTTTTCCACTGACTCCCCACCCCCAATCAAATCAGAAAGAATCTAATACATTATTCACATTTGTCTGCTGTCTTCCCACTCTTTTTTCTCTCTCCACAACCCCCTGCCCCTAAGCCAGATACCCAAACTTTAATCTGTCTTCATCCCATCTCAGAATTTCATGTGCATGTTTTCAGTTTGCTGGTGTTAATGAGTCTTTGTTACCATGAACCATGATCCTTGTGGAGTTCTAGATTCCCCATTCCTATTATAAGACCACTAAGCAAACCCAAGCACTGTGCTTTGTACTAAGAGATGGCTCAATACTTTTTAACTGGATGAGGATCTTGAAGATACTCTGGTAATCTGGGTCACTAGAGCCCAGAATTTTCATTAGCAGATGGATGAGTGAGATTACTTCCATCTCTCCCTCTCCCTCTCCCCTTAATAGAATCAGCTACTTTCTAACTGGTCTCCCTGTCTTGAGGTTTGGCACCACTGTGTCTGTCCACAAATCTACTGCCTGAGATGCCTTCATAAATACAAACCTGTCCATGTTTGTAGCCCACTGCTCAGAAACTGTTTGAGGGTCTCTACTGCCTACTGCACTTAGTCCATGGATGATTTTCTGAGCAAGAAAATGTGGACAAATAAGTTTGGGAAATGCTGCAAGCCAGATCCCCTCTCTCCAGTTCACAATGCATGTTAGCCTATTAGAGCGAGTACATAGACTTGTTGTCCTGTGTTCCTTGGGTCTTCTCAATGAACTGGATTACAGAAATGCATGCCCTTTGCCCTCTGAAACATCTGCTAAAATCTAAAGACTAGAGCTTGTAAAACAAACTTCAGAAAAAGCCTGCCTAAAAGGTGCCCAAACTCCTTAACTTCACCTTCAAAAGTTTCCAAAACCTTGACCTAATATTCCTCTCCAATATAGGAGCTTAAGCCTAAGAATGAGACAGATCCAGGTTCAAACCCCAGCACTGGCATTTAATAGTATGTCACCTTAGCCTATTTACTCTCCCATTCTGTGCCACAGGTTCCTTAAGTGACAATAACTGTACCTACCTTCAAGGGTTACTATTAAAAGATTGCATGAGAGAATGAATATAAACCTCACAGTAGAATATCTAGCTGATATGGTTTGGATCTATGTCTTCCCCCTTTGTTTTCTGTCTCTCCTGCTGCCTTGTGAAGAAGGTGCTTCCTTTCCCCTTTGCCTTCTGCCATGATTGTAAGTTTCCTGAGGCCTCCCCAGCCATGCAGAACTGTGAGTCAATTAAACCTCTTTATAAATTATCCAGTCTCAGGAAAGTTCTTTATAGCAGTGTGAAAATGGACTAATATGTAAATGTGTACTAAGTTAGTGGGATCCTGCTATAAAGATACTTGAAAATGTGGAAGTGACTTTGGAACTGGGTAATGGGCAGAGGCTGGAACAGTTTAGAGGGCTCATCAGAAGACAGGAAGATGTGGGAAAGTTTGGAACTTCCTTGAGACTTCTTGAATGGTTTTGACCAAAATGCTGATAGTGATATAGACAATGAAGTCCAGGCTGAGATGGTCTCAGACGGAGATGCGGAACTTCTTGAGAACTGGAACAAAGGTGACTCTTGCTTTGTTTTAGCAAAGAGCCTGGAAGCATTTTGCCCCTGCCCTAGAGATCTGTGGAACTTTGAACTTGAGACAGATGATCTGAAATTGGAACTTATGTTTAAAAGGGAAGCAGCGCATAAAAGTTTGGAAAATTTGCAGCCTGACGATGATAAACTAAAAAAAACACCTATTTTCTGGGGAGAAATTCAATCTGGCTGCAGAAATTTGCATAAGTAACTAAGAGTCAAATGTTAATTGCCAAGACAATAGGGAAAATGTCTCCAGGGCATGTAAGAGATCTTGGCAGCAGCCTCTTCCATCACCGACCTGGAGGCCTAGGAGTAAAAAATAGTTTCGTGGGCCAGGCCCAGGGCCCCACCGCTCTGTGCAACCTAGTGACTTGGCACCCTGTGTCCCAGCTGCTTCAGTTCCAGTGTGGCTAAAAGGGACCAAGGTACAGCTCAGGCCATTGCTTCAGGAGGTGCAAGCCCCAAGCCTTGGGGGTTTCCACATGGTATTGGACCTGCAGATGCATAGAAGTCAAGAATTGAGGTTTGGGAACCTCTGCCTAGATTTCAGAGGGTGTATGGATATGTATTGATGTCCAGGCAGAAGTTTACTGCAGGGGCAGAGTCTTCATGGGGAACCTCTGCCAGGGCAGTGCAGGAGGGAAATGTAGGGTCAGAGCCCCCACACAGAATCCCTACTTGGGCACTGCCTAGTGGAACTGTGAGAAGAAGGCCACCGTACTCCAGACCCCAGAATGGTAGATCCACCAACGGCTTGCACCGTGCACCTGGAAAAGTCACAGGCACTCATCACCAGCCCATGAAGGAGCTGCCCAAGGCCATGGGAGCCCACCCTTATATCAGTGTGCCCTGGGTGTGAGACATGGAGTCAAAGAAGATCATTTTGGAGCTTTAAGATTTAATGACTGCCCCCACTGGATTTTGGACTTGCATGGGGCCTGTAGCCCCTTTGTTTTGACCAATTTCTCCCATTTGGAATGCGTGTATTTACCCAATGCCTGTACCCCTACTGTATCTTGGAAGGAACTAACTTGTTTTTTATTTTATCGGCTCATAGGTGGAAGAGACTTGCCTTGTCTCAGATGAGACTTTGGGAGACATTTAATACTGGAATGAGTTAAAACTTTGGGGGACTCTTGGGAAGGCATGGTTCATTTTGAAATGTAGAAAGGACATGAGATAGGGGAGGGGCTAGGGGTGGAATTGTATGGTTTGGCTCTGCGTCCCCATCCAAATCTCATCTCTAATTGTAATCTCCATAATCCCCACATGTTAAGGGAGGAAGCTGGTGGGAGGTGATTGGATGATAAGGGCAGTTTCCCTCATGCTGTTCTTGTGATAGTGAGTGAGTTCTCATGAGATCTGATGGTTTTATAAGTGTTCAACCGTTCCTCCTTCATGCACTCTCTCTCACCTGCCACCTTGTAAGATGTGTCTGCTTCCCCGTCTGCCATGATTGTAAGTTTCCTGAGGCCTCCCAGCCATGCAGAACTGTGAGTCAATTAAACCTCCTTTGCTTATAAATCACCCAGAGTCAGGTAGTGTGAGAATGGACTAACACACTAGCCTGCAGAAAAAGACTCAATGAATGGAATTTCTGTAATGATGATGATCTTTTTAAAATTCCCTCGCAAACCCGCTATGACACACACCAACCAATCTGCTTGCCTTTTCCCAAAATTGCCCCATGGGTACAAATTCTAAGCACTTTCTACATGGCATGCTCTTTCTTCCTCACCTCCATGCCTCCAAACCCCTTCCCATTATTTGATGCACAGGCAAATGGTGGTCACGTGGTCAACTTTCCCAGCACCTCTTCCTTCCTTGCTGCTGTGGAAACCAGTATCTGCCCTTTTCACACCTAGTTTCTGTCTCTCCTGGGGCAGTTAATCCTCCCCTCAGTGTGGCTCTTGCCACCAGCTGGATGGGCTGAGGAAGCTTCCTGGTGCAATGTGATGGGCTCCAGCTCAGGTTTTAATGCTCCCCAAAAAGGCTGGCTCTATGACACTGGATAAGCATCTATTTCCTCATATCCAACTTGGAATGAGGAATCTGATATTAATAGAACTTCTCTGAGGATTTAAGGAGTTGGCCTGTAAAGTGTCCAGCATTAGTTGGCTTTTGTTTCCCTTCCTCGACATCTCCTCTTACTCCCATCACACAATATTGGGGGCTTAAGGAATATTGAGCTGACTGGCCAAGTGGGCTTGATAAATAGGTATCTTTTAAATCAACTTTATAAACCCATCTATTTACCAAGTCTCTAACTTGCCTTGATCCAAAAAAAGAGGCAATTTCTGAGTCCACAGTATCCGGCTTTCCTCTAAAACTTCTACAGTGAGAGGATCAGTGCCCTGATCATGATGAAAGCAGTGAGGTACCTGACCAGAAAGTTACCTACACACAAAAGCTTTTAGGGGGGTTTAGTACCACTCCTTTCACCAAAAAATCAACTCAGCTACAAGATAGAAACTTAAACTCCACTGGTTGTGACAACTAGAAGACAGAAGGGCTGCAGTTTTTGGTCTCAGCTCCATGTATAACTTGATGTGGGACCCTGGGCTCACAAGGACTCAGTTTCTCCTTCAGCAAATGAGGACATTGGATGGGAAGATAGCTCAGCTTTCCTTCCAACTTTAAATTTGTGGAAAACCACAGTGCTCTCTCTCCATTGCCTCAAGTCTTAGGCACATGTTAATTAGCTCCCAGTGTGGTGTTTGCTGTCACGCTAGGAGCATCCCACGAAGAGCATCAGACGAGTGGTGTTGACTTCCATCAGCAAAGGCCATGCTGAAACCATCTGCTCCGCCCAGAGCTGCCCGTGGGACTCAGGCCACAGCAGCAGGGAGCTTTCTCTAAACAAGAGGGTCAGTGAAGAGGAAAGGCAAAAAGGGAAGTTGTTTCCTCTCGACTATTTTGGTGCCTTTGTTTTGTCAGTGGTTCACACAGAGCCAATAAATTAATTCCCCAAGATGGCAGTAATGATGATGAATTTGGTTTTATGGTTTAACTCTTCGGTAATCTCTGCAGAGGGATGATACAGATCTAGTCTCTACTGAGTGAGAGAGAGATGGCAGATACCTGGTTTGCTAGTCCTTCCTGTTCATTGGTCTATTTGTCTATTTTGAGCTGAAAACAATTAAGAATTTCATATCCACCAGAAAGTAGATTGACTCTTTGAAATCTGGACCAGAAGATTTTGGTGTTTCTGTATTTATTTTTGACTTCTGGCTAAAGTTGTAGCACTGAAGCTACTAACTCTATATGATCATTTGTCTGTAATTGAGAAAGGCCTTGACTTCTCCTTGTAGACGTATGAATTGTTTTCTTATTATGGGATGGTATTAATAAATTAGATTATAATGTTTCTAAAATTACAGGAGGCTCTGTTCTGGTTAGTTTATAAAGATAAACACTTGTATAAATAGAATATTTCTAAAATTTTTAGAAAATAAAACATTGAATTTATACTTTAACATCATAGACTACACTTTTAAAAAATCCTTCTTTCACAAATTGTTCACTCAAACATTTTAAGAAACCAAGTTTACATAATTAAGGTAAATTTTGGAAATCACACTAGGTTAAGAAAAACTGTCTATTCTCTGATTTATGAGTGTTAAGTATAATATAACAGTACACATTATTTTACTTGAGTTTGTTTTCTCAAGGACAAAATAATTATCTGAATCTTCTAAACATGTACAGGTTTACTAATCAAATAAGCTAATAACTACTAATTTACTAAACAAACTCCTACATGATGTTTAAGATTATGAAAATTATAAATTTGTGTTCAACTAAGTTGAATTATTCTGACAAACTTTTCATATCAACAGCAATTATTCTTCAGAGTGAACCAGTTTAGACATAATTTTCAACATCTTTAGTTAAATTAAAACTTAGACAAATATTAAAGTGAATTAATTAATGGATTTTAGAAACCCAGATATCTCCTATTAAATAACATAGAATATGACAACATTGATTACTAAGCATAAAGTTTATGGACTTCTGACTCTTATCTTTACATGCTATACAGCTATATTTTTGGATCATATTAACGAACATGTTCATTTTGAAGTGTAAATGTCTAGATGAAGAAAATTGTATTATGTGTATCACAAGCTTTGTTAGTCTGCTAAAATGCTTCTATATGACAGACAGTTCTCAATTATCTACCCCGAAATTTTCTCTGTGAAATAGAAGTTACTTAAGTTAAAAGTCATAATTAATATGGATGATTAAGACTGTATGTATTAGCCGATTTTCACACTGCTGATAAAGACACACCTGAGGCCGGGCTTAGTGGCTCACTCCTGTAATCCCAGCACTTGGGGAGGCCGAGGCAGGCGGATCATGAGGTCAGGAGATCAAGACCATCCCCGCTAACACACGGTGAAACCCCCTCTCTACTAAAAATACAAAAAATTAGCCGGGGTCGTGGCAGGCACCTGTAGTCCCAGCTACTTGGGAGGCTGAGGCAGGAGAATGGTGTGAACCCGGGAGGCGGGGCTTGCAGTAAACCGCGATTGGGCCACTGCTCTCCAGCCTGGGCGACAGAGCAAGACTCCATCTCAAAATAAATAAATAAATAAATAAATAAATAAATAAAACTAAAAAAAGACATACCTGAGACTGGGCAATTTACAGAAGAAAGAGGTTTAATGAACTTAGAGTTCCACGTGGATAGGGAAGCCTCACAATCATGGCGGAAGGCAAAAGGCACTTCTTAAATGATGGCTGCAAGAGAGAATGAGAGCCAAGCGAAACAGGTTTCCCTTGTAAAACCATCAGATCTCGTGAGACTACCATGAAAACACTACCACGAGAACAGTATGGGAGAAACTGCCACCATGATTCAATTATCTCTGACTGGGTGCCTCCCACAACATTTGGGAATTGTGGGCATACAATTCAAGGTGAGATTTGGGTGGGGACACAGCCAAACCATAACTGTCTACTAGGAACACAAAGAAATGTAAGAGCCTATGTGCTTTTGTTTTTTCAAGCCAATCTGTTCCAGAATATGAAGGTAAATGAAAGACAAAAGATGAGAAGTGAATTTTATTTTCCTTAGTTTATAATGCCTGAATCTAAAAAGAAAATATGAGACATGTCAACATTTTGGCAGAGTTTGCTTCATTTTGAAGGGCGAGTTTTCTTGTTTACTGACCAATATCTTTACCTACAATATGAAAGAATATTCTTTACCTTCTGCGTGATCATCCAAGACATAAAAGATTCAGAATAATTTTGTTATTAGAAGTAATTATCAGTAATTATCAATTATCAATAATTAACAATTTTCTGTGTCTTATGTCAATTTTATTATACTCTTGATTATTGAAAAAGCAAAACAAAACAAAAAAGAACAAAGGTTCATCCCTCATAAAAGAGCTAAATTTCTTTTCAAGTCTATGTTATTTTTAAATGTTTTATAGTCACTTTGAAAAACTATTATTTTTCAGATACCTATCTTAACCAAATGTTTAAGTCATCTCTAACATATCTTTAGATTTTGTCTTCCCTAGATTGAATCTTAATTTTAAAGTAAAACAAAATAAAATGTGTAGGGACTTTTCTATACCTATTTCTAAAAATTCCCAGTAAGCCACTGGAAAAGGCTATTACAAAATTTGTTCTTTTACCTTTTAAAAAGAGATGCTAAAAATAATTAGGTTTGTTTGTGAGTCATGCTCTTTGACTAGATTCAGGATCATAAGAGATGCATTTGAAAAGCTGTCAACTCACAAGGGCCACTCTGCTTCCTGCAACTGAGACAAGCCTCTTACCCTGGTAGGGAGCAACCCCTGACATGGCCCTGCCCCCCGGTTTGGATAACCTTGAATATGGCCTGGTTTCTCGCTTCTCTCTTAGAGCTTCTATGGGATGAGAGGACTTAGTTAGGAGTCCAGAGGATTTGGGGGAGGAAAGAGTTCAGTGACTGAAGGGAGCACAGGGAAGAAATTTCTCTCAAATGTTTTCTCTTCTTTCTGTGTTCACACGCCCCCCTGTTTCTAGATGTTTCCTTCTCCATGAAACCATAGTGACCTTTCTAAGCCACAGAGAAGCCGAACCGCTAGGATGGATGAATGGGTGGGTAGATGGATGGATGGATGCATAGATAGATAGATAGATGATAGACAGATACATAGATAGGCTGGCAGATAGATGGAAAGTTTGTTTCAGGGATTTGATCTTACACAGCTGTAAGCAGTCCCTATAACACTGTTGTGTTTGTGTCTGGTGTTGGATTTGAAATCTTCAGGGCAGTATTTTGGGAAAAGAAGATGGACCTAATATGACGGAGACCAAGGACAAGCTGGAACCCACAGGATGGGCTGAAACCTTTGTCAACCCTGATGTCCTACAGAAGCTGGCCTTGGGCCATGGGGAAAATTCAACTGTTCATGCACACCATAAGAAAATTTGCAGGTTTCTCAGTTTTTTTCTATCATATTTTGGGCTTCCATTTTTCTCCCGTTGTGGTTTAGCCCCACATTTATCTACGGGTTCCATCAGGTAAGCACCCCCCAACTCAGCCTGAAGAGACAGTTCACAAGGGCCTAAACTTCCTACTTCCTCTCTGACTGTTCTCTCCTGGCATCGGCCCGTGGGATTTCTATCTAGTCTGTGTTTACAAAAGAAAAACATCTGCTTGGCAAACAATGTTTCAAAACTTTTCGGCCACACTCCCGGGCAGTGGCTTTTTAATCTTTAAAACGAAGCATGCAAAGTCTTTTTTCCTCTGGCCCTACCGCAGTCATCACCTTGGGAGAAAGTGGGCTCACCTTGGGCTGCTGGGCAGAAGGCTGAAAACTGGAAGTGGCAGATGGAGAAATGGCAGACAGGCCTGGAGGAGCAAATGGGGGAAGGAGGTACTCATCAGTTAACATTCAGAGGGGAAGGAGGTACACATCAGTTAACTTTCCAGAATTCTCCCCCACCACACAAATATTCCAAAATGGGGGACTAATAGCACAGTAATTTCAACAAATATCTTACTCCTTTCCAGTAAAGAAAGAAATCTCTTCCCAACCTTCCTCCTGCACACAGTGCATTCAAATCAGCTGAGACATTGTCCTTGACTTTGAAAGTAGTGTGTGGCCACAGTTGTTGGGAGAGGGACCAGCCATGGCCCCTGAACATCCCTGCACATTCTTGCTGGCTGTGCCAGGATGCAAGGCCCTGACCGTTCTTCACTTGGGCTGCTTCTCAGGGACATCTCTCTCCCCAAAGAGCAGGCTTTCTTTCCCTCCCTATAAAAATGATAAATCCTCCAAGCTCAGGGCTCATCCTCTGTCACCCAGCCCACTGCCTGTGCAGGTACCCATCAAGGCACACCTATGTCATTTCCTCCCATCCTCATGGGACTTCAGGTCATGGAGAACTGGCATGAACATGAAACTCTGGCTACAGATTTCCCTGTAAGTAATAAAGTTCATTGTCCCTGTCCCAGATAAGGTAGAAGGGTAAAATCTCAGACCACTGACAACTGTTTTCAATGGTGGTCTCTCAACGCCTTCTCCAAAAGGGCACGTCAGTCACCTTAACCACCATATGTGTGTCTTATCCATGAATGACCTCAACTAAGACCCTGCTAAGTGACATACAGAAAAGGAGGCGACGTTGGTGATTTAAAAAAAAAAAAAAAAAAAAAAAAGCCAGTGTAGAAATGTATTGTCTACCAACTACTGGCTGGACTCGTCTGACACCCATACTTAGAAATTCCTAAGCACTATAGCCATGAGACCAATCACCTGGCCCGTCATGAGTGCCTGGCTGCGGTTTTGGTATGAAGCAGAAAGCCTCTACCAATCCAATCCAGTTTCTTAGCCCACTGCTAGCAAATGCTCGCCATTCCTAGGCTCCCTGCAGCCTTTCCAGACAAGTTTTCAAACCTAATTAAGCTTAGCATTATCATTGTTTTTATCACATTAAGTTCCCACTTGGCCCTCAGCAGCAGAGACCACAAAGTCAGCACTGCATCTTTAAACAGAAACAACAGATTTTGGTTCAATTAAAAATTCATTAAAATGCAAATTAGTTTGTAAATTTTTTTCCCTCCTTCTGATGATTCCCCAACGTGGCTTTTTAATCATAGCTGGCGCTGAAGGAGAGGTGAAAACCTGTGGATAGAAAGGAATACAGAGGGAGAGCCAGAACCCTGAAGCTGCAGGGCACATGCTTCTCTGAGAACCGTAACCCCTTCCTTTCCCCTCCGTAACTCTATTTCCTCCCCAAAGAGGATGGTTTCAGTCTCATTCTTCCACGGTGCTTCGCTGATAACACTCAATCATTTTTTCAGATCTCAATCTCACTGAACAATGTGATCTTAAGGGAAAACACCAGGATAAAATGAATAATTAACCTTCTCCACGTACATTCCCTGGCCATGCTGTAATATTCTGATAATGCTTTCATGATGATTTCTCCACTAACAGGGCAGTGAAATTTGACTAGTGGATTCCTGCAATGACTAAATATGACAATTAACACTCCAAGGGTTTAGCCAGGTAATCTCTTGGCCAAATCTTTCAAAATGACAGAGGCCACAGAGAAACATTCACAAACTAGTAACAATGTTGGCCAGGCGTGGTGGCTCATGCCTGTAATCCCAGCACTTTGAGAGGCCAAGGCAGGTGGATCATTCGAGTTCAGGAGTTCAAGACCAGCCTGGCCAACATGGTAAAACCCCATCTCTACTAAAAATACAAAAATTAGCCTGTTGTGGTGGCACACGCCTGTAATCCCAGCTACTCGGGAGGCTGAGGCATGAGAATTGCTTGAACCTGGGAGGCTGAGATCGCAGTGAGCTGAGATTGCGCTACTGCATTCCAGCCTGGGCAATAGAGCAAGACTCAGTCTCAAAAAAGAAAAAGTTTACTATACACAGAAACTGTAGGACTTTCCCTTGCATTCTCTCATCAATCTACACAGCAACTTTATATTGAGGTCTGTATTGTAATGCCTAGCATAAAAATGGGGAAACTGAGGTTTGGGGATTCTAAGATACTTGCCCAAAGTCGCCACCATAGTTTGGTTAATTTGACCCCCTCCAAATATCACGTTGAAATTTGATTCCCAATGTTGAAGGTGGGGCCTAGTGGGTGGTATTTGGGTCATGGAGATAAATTCCTCATGAATAGGTTAAATCTCTTTTTGTGAGTGGAGGGTGAGTTCTCACTCCTTTAGTTCCCAAGAGAGCTGGTTATTAAAAAGAGCCTGGCTCCTCCCTCCCTTGTCTCTTGCTTCCTCTCTCACCATGTGATCCCTGCACATACCAGCTCCTCTTCACTTGCCACCATGAGTGGAAGCTTCCTGAGGCCTCACCAGATGCAGAAGCCAATGCCATGCTTCTTGAACAGCCCTGCAGAACCATCAGCCAAATAAACCTCTTTTTATTATAAATTACCCAACCTCAGGTTTTCCTTTATAGCAACACAAATGGACTAAGACAGTCACATAACTAGAAAGCAGTAGTCAGGGCTTGAACTCACATCCATTGGATTCCAAAGTCAGTGCTCTTTCCATTACATTAATCCCACGACTTCGTTCCTGTGTCACAGACCTCACTCAGCTTATTGTTTCACTGAATGTACCAGCAGTTACATTCAATTGCTTCTGAGACAGGTTGGATGTATACCACGCTGCTGGCTTTCAAGAAAACAATGCCATGCTGCCTCAGACTCAAGAAGAGTGGGTCTCATCTTCCTACTTACTGTGGGAAGCCAAGCAGCTACTGCAGGTTCATTAGATGCCCCTAATTGCTGAGAACACATTCAGGAAGTATGGTAAATGCAACTTAATTGAGAACTAATTAACTTGTTATAGTTATCTCGTTATATGCCAATTAAATATCTAAATATTCCTTTCTTCTCAGATAAAGAATTTTTAAAAATCAGTGATGAAACTGGATCTCCAAATGAGAGAATTCAGGTAGCAGACCCCGGATGGACACCAACTCTACAGGGGCTTTAGTGGGGCCTGGCGGTCCTGAAGAGGAGGTCAAGCTCATTCACATCATTTTAAAGGAAGATGTCCAAAGGCAGAGGACAGATTTTGACTTGCAGAGGAATTCTCCATTAAATCTGGTGTGAAACGGGATTTGGTCCAGAGGCCCCAAGAGACATAACCTGGCAAGGGCTGTTCCTACTACCCGGCTTTGCTCCAGCTATTTAAGGTTTATGCTTTTTATCCCTTTGTTTGCTTTTAATCTGCCCTTTTCTGTGGAAATCCAAGGAGGCCTTTCACGTAACTACACATTGTCATCAGGAGCATATTGCCATGGCAGAGCTCAGTTTCAGCTCAGCTCCGAAGTAATCATTCACTTTTCATTTGTTTTCAGTGGCAATGTAGTTTAACCCCCTCCTCTGCTGAGTTTCTACAAGCTCTTTCAAAGAGAATCCCCGAAGGTGGAGGAGCTGAGAGGTGCTTCCCTAGCCAACCAGGAAAGAAGGGAAGGCTGAAAGAGTAAGTCCATTCACAGGACTGCACTTTCAGCCCTGATGTTTCTTTCTAAAGAATGTCTGTTTAAATCACTGAGAAAATAAAATTATATTCCTGTCAGAAACCTAAATCAATATCTGGTCCTGGGAGATGAAGAGAGTCAGATCCCGTTCTCACCCAAACGTTGTCATTGGAACTGATGGGCCAGTGAGTTTGGGCTGCCTTGTTAAGATCACCTGGTGCTGCACGAGGAAAGGGTGTGTCTGGTTTCTCATCTTAATGACAAGCAGGCATGCTGCTTTGAAATGTTCTGCTTGACTCCCCCAACCTTCCAGTTTGAAGACTGGTGCTCTTTTCAGATCTTTCTGACTTCCTGTCTCATTGAAGAATGTCCCAGCCACATCGTTCCCGGGGCTTTTCCATTCTTCCTTGCTCACAGTCAATGTTCATCTACTTTAGGGACTGATGGTACTAACACTGTTTGTTGCAGTCCTAGAGAGATATTAGAATGATGAAGCCCCGTTTCCTAAGGGGAGCTACTCACCTGCTCTGCCCCAAACTGAACACTCAAACTCTCCGTACAGATCTGTTTCTATTAAAGAAACTGATGGGATTCCTTAGCTCTAGCCTTCAAGGAGACAACAAAATAATTAATTGAAAATGATGAGTTCACCCTCTGGAATGAAAATGATAAACTACTTATTATACAGTCAGTTTAGGCTGTGGTGCATTCAGCAAACTATAAATAATGCACAGGGAGATTCTGATACGAATTTCCAATTTCTTATCATTGCAAAACGAGTGTGATCCCACCTTCGTTACTATACCTGGAAGCTTGACTGCCATCTGATCCATCTGGATTTGGAAATTGATTTTCCTACCTAGCTTCTGCTAGCTTACTTCCATTGTCTCCAACCACACTCTTGTTCCACTTGAGTCTGTGCTGGGACACAGCTTCTTTGTACCAAGCCCTTGCTTTCTTCTATTTGCAGAAAACTCTCAATTTCTGCTTATGCATTTGTTCAAAGTTCACT
Source organism: Homo sapiens (assembly GCF_000001405.40). Taxonomy (NCBI): domain Eukaryota; kingdom Metazoa; phylum Chordata; class Mammalia; order Primates; family Hominidae; genus Homo; species Homo sapiens. The sequence continues at coordinate 92,365,176 of NC_000015.10, forward strand.
TTAAGTACAGAGTATTTATCAACTGTATTGCTCTGCAAAGTGCCTGCCGCCGGTGACTCATTATGGGGAATGGCTTCTCCTCCCTATTTTGCATGGCCCCGCAGCTTTCTGTCCGTGTCTCTCTCATGTGAGCGTTCTGTTTTCTTTGGCCAGCTGCCTCTGTTCTCAGCCTGCATCTTGATGATCGGTGGCATATTTCAAACTCCACTCCTTGAGGGTAGGGAAGTAACTACCAGTTTGGGATTGACATTAAAAGAGCTCTTCTATTGCATGGAAATGTGGTTACTATGTTGAAATCCTTTTGAGGGAAGCAGCACCCTGGCGATAGAGATCTAACGCAGGCTTTGGGGATGAGGATGATGAGGGCTGCGGGGAGGTCTGCTTTCTTCCAGGGAATGCTTTTCAACTCTGGCTGCCCTTTGGAATCTCTTGGGTAGCATTTGCAAATTCAGACACCTCTGTCCCACCCCAGAGACTCTGATGAATTATCTGGGAGGCAGCCAGAATCAGGCTTGTTTCAAGTTCCCCAGGTGACACTGAAACCACTGGGCTAGAAGTGTGACATCAAATCAGAGTCCATAAGAAAAAAACTGAGATTCACATTAAGGGGAGAGCAAGTGTCAAGCTCAAGTTCAAAAGATGAGCAATGGTAATAAAGTCCAGACTTAAAGCCAAGAGTCCAAACTGGGGCAGAAATGGAGCACAGGGTAAAAGAAAAGCAAATCAGACAAGAGCCACAAAAGTCCAGAGTGCCCGCTGCAAGGCCCATACCCTGGTGGGCCCACAGCTCAGTCTCAAGACCAGAAGGGTTGGGGCAGCGTGGCATAGTGCCTGAGGCAGGAACCACAGGGGTCTGTGACTTCCTGCTCAAGGCTATTTCACACCCTTCTTCCAGCAAGAGCTAAGAGTTGAATCACACCATACCAGACCTACGCTGATTATCACAACAAATACAATGATGTAAAATCATTCAGTGTTAGGGCTGAAAGAAATAATTTAGTCCAACCTCCTTCATTACATCAAAATCAGATCAGAATGTGTTTCTCCTCCCACAGATCTTCACTATAAAGACTAAAAGACTCAAGTCAGGTATTCATAGAAGCAAGCAGGAGTGGCTTGCAATTTTTATAGGAACATTTCAATTATCATCAACTCTCTCATTGCAGGGTGGTGGGGAATGTGGCATAATCTCTACATCAGCCTTTCTCAAACTTTAGTGAGCTTGGAAAGTGACCAAGAGGGAGTGTGTTAGAATGCATGTTGCTTGGCCCACTCCAGAGAATCCGATTCAGTAGGTCTGGGGTGGGCCCCAGGTATCTGTATTTTTAACAAGTAAGAAGCGCTACAAGCCCAGGCATTCTTACACGGGTGGTTCCAAAGCCAAGTTTTTAGAAATACTGGTTCTAAGTGATCTCATCATTTGTAAACCTTGGCTTGACTCCTGGATGGAAAAGCAATTTTCAGATTGGCAGTTATCAACCCTGGCTGCACATTAGAATCATTTGGAGAGCATTTTTAAGAAATACTGATGCGTGGGTGTCTTAGTCCGTTTGCACTGCTATAACAAAGTGCCATTGGCTGGGGAGCTTACAAACAAAAGATATTTAATTCTCACAGTTCTGGAGGCTGGGAAGTCCTAGATCAAGGCACCAGCTGGCTCAGTGTCTGCTGAGGGCCGATTTCCTGATTCATTGATGCCAACTTCTCACTGTCTCTTCACCTGGTAGAAGGCGGCTCTCTGAGGCACTTTTTTTTAAGGACATTAAACCCATTCATGAGGGCTCCATCCCCATGACCTAACTGATTCCCAGTTGTCCCACTTCCTGACACCATCACATTAGTGATTAGGTTTCAACATATGAATTTTGGGGAGACACAAAAATTCAGGCCATAGTACTGGGCCTTAACCCAAACCAACTGAATTAGAATCTCTTAGGACTGAGGCCTTGTATCAGTTAGACACTGCTATAACAATGCTGTGTGACAAATATCTCAAAACTCAGTGGCTTAAAACAACAAACATCTATTTCTCACTCATAGGTCTGTTGATGGCTAGAGCACAACTGTTCTAGCCTGACTCACCTGGGTGACAGCTCCAGATTGTAGGTTGGATTCAAGTCAGCTTCACATATGTTTCACTCTCCTTGGACCAGTGGCCAACGAGGATGTGTTCTTCTCGCAGTAGATCGCTGGACTGCAAGAGACAAGACAAACAGCACATTTAAAGCTTCTGCTCATGTCATGTCCAGTAATATCCTACTGGCTGAAGCAAGTTTATGTGGCCAAGCCCAATATCAAGAGGATGGGGGAAAAAAAATACTCCACTCAATGGTCTAAACTATCACAGGCTCCACCCTAGACCAATTAAATCAGAATTCCTGGGACAGGATATCAGCATTGACAAAGCCCCCTAAAATGTACAGCTAGGATGGAAACTCATTCTTCTAAAGGGTGATTCAGGCCCCAGGCCCATAAATAAGCGGCTAATCCTATCTGCAGAAGTTACAGTGCTATATATTTGGAATAAAACATGAGAAGTAGCACTGTGGCAAAAGTATGACTAAATAAATGACAGAGAAAATAAAAATCAAGCAAAGTACATTATTTGTGCATGTCAGCCCTTCAAATATTTGGACTCAGCCCTCATGTTCTGCACTGCTGACCCCAGCTCCTTTTCTGACCTTTAAAGAAAGTTTCAGTCCCTCCAATCATAGGCCAGGCAGGATGCTTTCAATTCTTCTCTCCCTCTGGTCTCACTCTTCTCGGAATGCACTCTATATGTTTTGTTGTGCACCCCTTCAATAAGGGGTCCCTCCAGCACATTCCTGCCATGTTCATGCCGTGGCCTTAAGTCGAGAGGAACAAAATCAGACAGGCTTTCCCCATGTCCTCAAGACCAAGTTCCTGTTCACACAGCCCAAGTGAAACCGCTGGGAGGGGGCAGCACCTGCCCATCTGGCCCATCTAGCTCAGGTGCAGCCACCCTGGCTCCATATCAAGGCCAGTCTCTCAGCCTGCTGCCCTCCCAGATCTGCCTCTAACTTCCAGAGTGTCCCTGGACAAAGTCACTTCCTCCTCTTTTGGTCCTAATTTCTTCATCTGGAAGAAAAAAGTCTGCGGCTGGCCACATCCTTTCAGCTCTGACCTTGGTGAGCATGGGGCTGTGCAGGCATGAGGGTGGCCCTCAGAGAAACACTGTTACAGTCAGGGACCCAAGGGAAGCCTAGACACTTACCAGGGGTGTTTGCCAACAGCATTGGCATTAAATGCTCAGGCCTATGCAGCTCAAGAAAAATTGTTTTGTTGCTCCTACTAGAAAAATCCACTAATTGCATTCTCCCAATGATGGCGGTGGGTAAAGAAGAGCATTAATACTGTCAGCTCTGTGGGATGGTCTAGGATGCAGTTTTCCATCTGCCGCGGCGTCGGGAGAACTCGCAGGCCTCACTCTCGGTGGCCGCAGAGCCCTGCTTTTGCAGCAGCCTCTCATCACTCCCCACCTTCGTCATCTCCCTGCACCTGAATACTTGGGAGTGGTTCATGGGGATCATTCATCCATCTGCCCTTACCCTGACCAGCAGCCCTGGGTGGCCCAGCTTGGCCTCCCTTTCTGTACTCATCTCTCCTCTCTCTCCTGCTTTATCCATCACGTTGGCCTCCCGGACACCTCCAAAACACACCACATTCTTTCTCTCTTACTGGCCTTCACACTGGCTGTTACCTCGGGCCTGGAACACTCTTACTGGGGTGATCAGGCATTCCAGTTTGCCTGAAACTGTCTTGATTTTAACATTGAAAGCCCTGCTTTCTAGGAAATCCCTCACTCTGGGCAAACAGGAGGGTTGGTCACCCTTCAGTGTTAAATGTTCACATAGCTGGCTCTCATTTCCTTCAGGCTCTGCTCTATGGTACTTCCTGAAAAAGAATACCCTGATCACCTTTATAAAATACCCACCTCAGAGCCAGTCATGGTGCCTCATACCTGTAATCCCAGTACTTTGGGAGGCCGAGGCGGGCGGATCACCTGAGGTCAGGAGTTTGAGACCAGCCTGGCCAACATGGCGAAATCCCATCTCTACTAAAAATACAAAAATTAGCCAGCTGTGGTGGTGGGCACCTGTAATCCCAGCTACTCAGGAGGCTGAGGCAGGAGAATCGCTTGAACCTGGGAGGCAGAGGTTGCAGTAAGCAGAGATCATGCCATTGCACTCCAGCATGGGTGACAGAGAGAGATCTGTCTCAGAAAATAAAATAAAATACCCACCCCAATTCCTTTCCACTTTTCATCACTTACTGAATGCTGAGCTTGCATGAACTGTATTTATTGTCTGTCTCCTCTCTGTATATCGAGATCAGGGACCTCATCTTTTTCCCTATTTAGAGCAAAGACTGGCCCATAGAAGGCATTCTGTAAGTATCTTCTGTTAGACTGATTTTAGGCTAACTGAATTGGTGTCTTTTGCCCTGTTGCCACAGAGTGGAGTCCAGAGGCATCGGATTCAACATCATGCTCTTCTGGAACATTTTAGAAGGCCAACTGGTCCTCAGGTTTCAAGAGCTTAGACCTTTCCTCTTATCATTACCTGTTTAACAATAGCATAAGCTACTGAGAGATACAGTGGCCAAGGCCTCAAACAGAATTGCATTCACTCTTTATTTTTATTTTTATTTTATTTATTCATTTATTTTTTGAGGCAGAGTCTCGCCCTGTCACCCAGGCTGGAGTGCGGTGGCGTGATCTCGGCTCATACAACCTCCGCCTCCCAGGTTCAAGAGATTCTCCTGCCTCAGCCTCCCAAGTAGCTGGGATTACAGGCACGTGCCAACACGCCCTGCTAATTTTTTGTATTTTTAGTAGAGATGGGGTTTCACCATGTTAGCTAGGATGGTCTCGATCTCCTGACCTCGTGATCTGCCCATCTTGGCCTCCCAAAATGCTGGGATTACAGGCATGAGCCACCGCGTCTGGCCGCATTTGCTCTTTAAACCTGCAGCAAAGTTTCATGGAGAAACATGAGACCCTCTAAACACAAATTTAAAGAGAACAGGTACAGTATGCCCAAGAACTGGAGAAAAGCTCAGTATTACACATCTGCTTTTTAATCATGAAACAGCAATGAAAACAGCAACTATGAAGCACCAGGTTAATTTCTCATTTAATTCTCACGTTTATGAAACTTAGATGATATTACTTCACTTTACAATCTGGGGCACAGAGAGGGCAAGTAAATCACATCCACTGCTAAGTGACTGTAGATATTTGAAGATAAGTCTGACTCTGAAGCCCTTAGTCTTCCCTCGATACCAAATTGCCTCCTCATTTCACTAGCTGTGCTAGGATGTAATTTTAAAATATAGTATGACATTTTCATAATAACTTGGAAAACAATATGTTGTCATGTTTTATGAAAAATTAGGATACAAACATGTATGTACACTTTGCTAATATTTACATTTTTAAATTTTACATGAGAAAAAGCATTAATTTAAACCAAAATGACATGCGGTTGCATTAAATGATCAATTTTAAGTAACTTAAAAAATAATTTTCAAATGCCTGGCACTTCTAGATTTAAGAAAAATTATTATGTTTGTTCAAAGGCAAGTTAGCAATACCTGGTTTGCCTGTGATGAGGCAGGTGGAGAGCTTCCAAGATCTCAGATCTTTCACATCACTGGCTTCTTCAGCGGTAGGAGTTGGTGCAAAGAATGGAATCGGGCTTTCAGACAAAAAATCGGAGAGCAGAGAAATGTTGATGGAGTGGGGTTGGATAGTGTCTTGGCCAGCACCGAAACTAAGATTGGGGGGTGGTCACTGTCAAGGACCAAAGACTCCTGTGGTTGGACTACCCTGAATTAGTGCCCAGGGACAGACCCCCTGCAGTCAAGAAACTCAAACCAAGATTAGTCTCAGAGGAAGCTGGGGAATGAACTTGGTGCTCAGTCCCCTTTCACTTACAAGGAAAAAAATAAGAAGCAATTTTCTTTTTTATAGCTGTTTTGGATCTAGTGTGCTCCCTGAGAAGCTCTGAATATGGCTTAGCCTTTAGATGTTTTGACAAGTGTATGATCAACCCAGAACAAGCCTTGTGTGCACTTTTCACCAAGTCTATTTTTCAAAGGCAAAAATTGGTGAATAGTGAAAGAACAACTTCTCTGTAAGAGGAAATTCCTACTGTTTAGGACTTTTAAATCATTTCTTTGAAATAGAGTTGTATAGGAACCAGGATCATGATGTGATAGTGGACTTCTGGGGGTGATGGATTTATTGAGGAGGAGCTCCATCCTCTTTTTAATCCAAAGGAAGGAATTAAACCTTTCCTTTTGAGCAGCATCCTATGACAAGTTTAAACACCAAAAACAATCCCAAAAGGCATTGCAGATATTGCGGGGAAATTTACACGTGCTTCATTGTAAGTTGCCTTACCATTATTGTGTGATATTTTAACAGAACCACGTAATGGAATCACAGGCCATCCTGGAGAGGTGTCATGGTTCACTGGAATGAACATGGATGCTGCATTCAGATTGACATGGGTTGAAACCCAGTGTCTTCATCAGCTCAGCCTGCCATACAATGTTGTATGGTATTCATAGACCAGGTAGCTTAAATAACAGGAATCTATTTTCCACAGTTCTGGGGGCTGGAAGTTAGTGATCGGAGTGCCAGTACATCCAGGTCCTGGTGAGGGCTCTCTTCCTGGCTTGCAGATTGCCACCTTCTTCAAGGTAGACAGAAAAGAAGCAAGCTCTCTGATGTCTCTTCTTATAAAGGCATGAGGGCTCTACTTTACTGACCTCATCTAAACCCAATCACCTCCCAAAGGGCCCATCTCCATAATCACATTGAGGGTTGGGGCTTCAACACAGGAATATGTGGGGGACACAAACGTCCAGTCTGCAACATCCAGCCTTGCCACTGATTAGCTGGGGCTTTGGGGAGGCCACATAAGCTTTCTGAGTCTCCATCGTGTCTAAAACTGGGAGACTTATTAGGTAACTGTCAAAGTTAAATGAGTGAAAGTACATGGAAACCATAACATAGTTGATATGGTTTGGCTCTGTGTCCCCACCCAAATCTCATCTCAAATTGTAATCCCCATCATCCCCACATGTCAAGGGAGGGACCTGGTGGGAGGTGATTGAATCATGGGGGCAGATTTCCCCATGCTGTTCTCGTGATAGTGAGTGAGTTCTCCTGCGACCTGATGGTTTCATAAGTGTTTGACAGTTCCTACTTCACATGCTCTCTCTCACCTTCTGCCATGTAAGACGTGCCTACTTCCCCTTTTCCCATGATTGTAAGTTTCCTGAGACCTCTCCAGCCATGCAGAACTATAAGTCAATTAAATGTCTTTTCTCTATAAATTACCCAGTCTCCGGCAGTTCGTTATAGCAGTGTGAGAATAGACTAATACAGTAGTAGTACACATAGGAGGTGATTTAGAACTGTCCCAAATATGCTTTTGGCAGCAGAACACTTTTCTTCCTAGACAGAAGCACAGTCTAAATAGGAAGTAAGAGCAGAACTGCTCTGCAAAGGTAGCCCTTCCGTTTGGATCTTACTTACCTCTGGAATCACACTCCAGGAGCCAGGACTTCAGAGAGCACCTTAATTTAAAAACCACCCACCTCGTGAGACTCCACTGCATCTGCTGGGTGGTGCTCCCATTCTCACTCCCAGGAGTCCTAAATATAAAACATACATCCAGTCACACATGAAGACATTGCTATATCTCAGGGAGGGCTGGGCTCCTCTGGCCACATCCACACCCTCAGAACAATTCCCTTTGCACCGGCACTGGCAACTTATCCCAATGCCCTGTGTTCTCTCTTCATCAGTACCATGTGCACCTCTCCAACTATGAACTTACAGTAATTCCCAAGTCCCATTTCAACAGAACCTATATATAACCCCACCCTTAAAAAATCCAAAATATTTCTTTTACACCTGAGGTTAAAAATTTGGAAGAGTACAGTGTGTGTGTTGGGCGGGGGGCGTGTGTGGTGCATGCGTGAGTGTGTGTACCTGCACGCACCATGGTTCTCAGCTTAGACAAATTTACTAGACTTAGCAGTCTTATTTTCTCTTGAGGAGTTGTACAGTAGGTTAAAAGTACATGATTCAAAGTTTTTGCATTCATTAGTATCATTTCTATGCTGCCAAATGCCTAATTCTGATGCCTAGTTCCCACTAAACCTATAAGCAAAAGGCTTTATTTTATCATTTCATTTTTATTTTCATTGCTTTTCCTTCTCTTTCAGTGTTTCCCTAGGACTATGCCATAGGCACACTTTCATTTGTGATTAGCTATGGGATTACAGTGATGGGAATTGGGAATCTGGGTATAGGTCTCTGGGTGGATGGCACCTACAACCTGGGTGGAAAAGGCATGTTTCTAAGGACAGTGATGGCCTCAATCAAAATGTTTCTAGTGAGGACAGAGGAAGCCTCCCTTTCCAAAAAGTCACACCTGATTCCACTGATTGAGTTCTGGCCCCAGGGTAATATGACTTTCTTCTTAATATCTGTATTTTTGCTCAGTGGTTTGGACAAAATACATTTCCCTTTAATCTGACTATTCTGAGATTCCTAAGTAGTCCCACCATGAATAGGCAGTTCACAGAAGCAGCACAGGAAAAGATGTTCACTCTCATGCATGATGAAATAATTTCTACCTAGCAGATGGCAGATCCACAAGTTTGATACTATACCGTATTACCAAGTGTGGACAAACATTTTGACAGAGGAGTATACTGGCATAGCTCTTTGGCAATTGCCACACCAACACATAAAATGGACATGATTCCTGATTTAGCAATTCCCCTCCTACGACTTTATCCCAAAGCTACCATAGCCCATGTCAATGTTACAAAGAAAAATTCCACACCTGTGCACACTAGAATCACTTGACATTGTAACCTCACATCTCACACAGGCACTCCACCCTGCTCAGCAATTGCATCACTCTTCTCAAGTCAAATGCCCTCCTCTCCTGGATGACCTTATCATACCAGCCCCTCATTTCTTAAACTCTTAACTTCTGCCAACTGGAGACTCCTCTTCAGTCTTCACTGAAGAAGACATGCACACACAACTCATTTTCCCAATTGAAAAATGGTAAAGAATCTATCAGGGGAGAGGAAAGAGAGGACAGGATTTTATGACAGTCAGCCTCAGAGCTAAATGGGTTTAAATGCCATCTACCAGTATGAGACCTTGTGCAAGTCACAGAAACTCTCTAAAATCCCATTTCTTCATCTAGATATCCAAGATCCTGGTCATGACTATGAATGAAAGAGAGAATCAAGGATGACTCTTGGGTGTTTTGGCCTAAGAAACTGCGTAAATTGTGGCACCATTAACTGAGATGGCAAAGGTTTAGACTAGTGATTCCCCAAGTGTGGCCCCCAGGGCAGCAGGATGAGAATTACCCAGCCCTGCCCCAGAACTACTGAGTCAGAAACTTGAGGGATCCAGCAACCTGCTTTAGCATGCCTCCTGTTTCTTCCATTTCCGATGCATGGTAATATTTGAAGAGTGGTGATTTAGAGGATATATCAGAAGTGAAGCAATTTTAGGTATTTTAGGCAGGAAAGCATTTAAGGTAATAAGTGCTTTAAAACCCATAAAAGGAGTGGTAGGGGGGAAACACAGGTCATGGGAGGGTGCCTCTGCTAGCTTGGTTCACCTCCAGCTTTCAAAAAGATAGGAAGTTGCAGGAAATTCAGAAAACTTCTTGCAATAATTTCAGCTTCAGAGGTAGATGATTCATAGAAAAAGGCTGGAAGCCACCCCCTCGTTGCCTAAGGTCCAGGAGGAACAATTATTTGGCTTCTGCTTATTTTCCTCCCTCCAAATCTCACACAGATGCTTCTTACTGGTGGGCTCTAAACTGGAAGCCCATAGGCAGGGGTTCTGGGGAATGTAATTGACAGATGCCCAGCCCCTGTGATCGGGGGCAGAGCATAAAGGGAAGAATGGTGTTGAGTTGCCAGCAGACCATCCAGCACAGACAGGAAAAAAAAAAACAAGAGTTATGTTTGAGGTGAGGATGACACATTTTTGTGGAAGTGTGAGGCAGGCAGTTGCACACCTGAGACAGAGACTCAGGGGTGAGGTTGGAGAGGAAGATCTCAATGTGAAAGTCTTCATCATACAGATGGCATTGAAAGCCTTGAATTCCTAAGATAGCATTGTCAGAGACAGCATGCAGCTGCAGAAGGTATTAGGAGACTCAGAATGGAGCCCTTTTTGACCAGAGAAAGAACAAATAGTCAAGGACCTAGAGAAGAAGGGGCCATCCTAGAAAGTGGATGGACTGTCTGGAAGCCTGAGGTGGGAATGTCTGAAGAGAAGGAGGGCCTGATGCAGTCAGAGGCTGCAGGAGGTCTTGTTTGATGGAGATAGACAATGGACTCTTTGGCTGGCAAGATGAAAGCTACTGGTGAAACAAAAGAAGCCACTTTCAGAGGCATGGCGGGGACGAAACTGTCTGCAAGTGATTGAGGGAGAATGAGCATAAAGGACGAGGAAGTGGAGAAGACAGGGAATTGGCATCCCATTCAAGGACATTTACTATGAAAGGGGACAGAGGACTGCACCACTGCCAGGGTCTTGGCTGTTTAGAGGAATAAACTCAATCTCAGAGAGTTTCTATGACTTGACCAAGGTCTCAGACTAGTAGGTGGCATTGAAACCCATTTACCCTGAGGCTGACTGTCACCAAGTCCTGTGCTCTGTTTCCTCCCCCAGATAGACATTCCACAATTGTTCAAGTTGTTCCTTTCTCTGGATTTGTTTTCTGATACTTATTAGAAAGAAATTAATTCCCTAGTTACTCCACAAAGCGTCTTTTCAGGAGGTGACTTTTTTCTTATTGGAAAAGAGATGTAATTAGGCAGAAGCAGGGGTGAGGCCCCAGGCTGGTCTTTGTATCTTCAAAAGCAAATGCCTTCTGCTAATTTCCTTCCATAAGAACTTTCACAGAAAAAGAAGTTTCAACGTGATAACAGGGAGAAGGAAGATTGACACCCCCTCCCTTTGATTGCCCCAGGTTAATAAGCCAGTGTTTGTGTAAAGGGACTGGCTCCAATGGCTACATGAATCTAAGCCAGCCAAAAAAGATAACTCTAAAAATAATCACAACATGGGCAAGTGAGCACTACTCTGAGATGGGGTCCGGAGCTGCCTGTCACTCACTGTCTTCCCTAAGGACATAAGATGTCACTACCCACCAGGGCCCAAACCATAGATTGGCCATTAGATGTGAATCCTTCCTGCGTGACATGAGATGCACTTGATTTAGTCAACCCAAGAGAGGCTGAAACAGCAGTGGCTTCTGCAGAGATGCTAGAATGATCTACTCATCAACCGGTTTGACTGAATTTACCCTTTGTAACCTGATGCTTGGAATCCTGGTCACGCGTGCTCCCATACACACTAGAAATTACCACCAAATCAGTATTCTCACAAAGCAAATAATAGAAGTAAGAAAGGGTGACCTGGGCCAGGTGCAGTGGCTCATGCCTACAATCCCAGCACTTTGAAAGGAGGCCGAGGTGGGCAGATCTCAGAGCTCAAAAGTTTGAGACCAGCCTAGGAAACATGGCGAAATCTTGCCTCTACAAAAAAAAAAAAAAAAAATTAGTTGGGTCTAGTGGTGCACACCTGTAGTCCCAGCTACTTGGGAGGCTGAGGTGGGAGGGCTGCCTGAGCCCAGGAAGTCGAGGCTGAAGTGAGCTAAGATTGTACCAATACACACCAGTCTGGGCGATAGAGCAAGACTCTGTCTCAAAAAAAAGAGGTGGAGGTGGGGGGTGATCTGATTTGAATTCCACCCTGAAATAGAAAAATAAATTTTATCTTATTTTCTTTCTTTATTAATTTAGTTAGAAAAGTAACACATGGACATTGTAGGGCAAAATGAAGAATTACATTTCAGCAGTGTGGTGAACACGACGACGCCCCACCCAGATTCCCATTCAAGAAAAGACTGGTTGCCCCAGCTGCTGGGGGTGCCGTGGGCTGATAGCTCCAGCTGTCAGATCTTTCAGCTCCTGAAAGCTGCTCAGTCATGAGCATGCCCTTCCCAGGGAAGCCTACATCCCGTGACTCATCACAGATGCCTGGCTATTTCTGTCCAACAGGGGACAACTTGGGCCATGCATGCTCCAGAGCTCCCGGGGCTGGGCAAAGGCTTTATCAAGCCTGCACTCAAGCTTTACTCCTTCCTTTGCCCAAACCTGCTGCCTCTCCCTTCCTCTCATGGGTGTTAGTACCCATAAAAATCCCATCTGCTTTCAGAGAACGCAACCTAGGATAATTGGTACTGGGGGTGGTTCAAGAAAGCAGGCTGGAGTTTCTGAGGAGGAGCACTGGCTGCCAGCTGGCAATGAGGACCCCATCACTGGTGGTGGGTGGAGCATGGACAGCCTCCGGCATGAGGTAGCAGTCCAGTTGTTAAAACTCTCAGCTTTGATGAGCTGGGATGGCACGACAATGGAAGACAATACATTTGATGGAGCAACTGACCACAAGTACGTACTGGGGTGGGACTATAGGACTATAACTATAAGGATAATGGCTTGAAAGGCTATTGTTAAGCACCACTGATATTCCAGAAAACGTTCCTGAAAAGCTACAATTGAAAGGCAAGTATGAAAGCCAGAGGACCTTCCTGGTACCTAACAAAGAGGCTTTCATGTCCTGCAGTGGGAGGACAGAGAAAGCTGAGGCCCAGGCTCAGGACTTCATAGTAAGAGCAGACAAACTCCAGAGAAGTTCAGTCCTCAACCAAAACAGCTCTGTTATGTTAAAGACAGGGTCCTGGAGTGGGAAAAATCAGGCCCACATTTTTGGAATGAGAATATCTAGGCAGATGCTTCTGGAATTTTGAATTCCCAGATTCCTCGGAATTCTCCACACCTGCAAAAAAAAAAAAAAAAAAAAAAAGTCCTAACCCTCCCTATGAAGGTCTAAGATTTAATGCAGAAGCTGCTTCCCCATTAGACAACATACAACCCTTTCAGGATTTGCCCCTGCCTCCTCTCCTGCCCATTAGGCCTGTAATAGGGCTAAGTCACAACATAACCAGTCTGTGGGCCTGTTACAGGAGGAAAGGAGCTATATCCCAAACAGGCTGTAAGCTCTAGCCATGATGTGCTAGCAGGAGGGGGGGTGTTTAATCAGTGACCATGGGTGTTCAATCAGTGGGGTGAGAACATGGCTCAGGCAGAGTATATTGATTTGGGAGCTCTCTCCCAAGATACACCTTGTCAAGAAGTCTGGGAAATGATGCAAACTTGCTACTATGATGGACCCTAGAAACACGGAACAAGTGACAGTTCATGCGAAGTGAAGTTGAAATACCAGAACTGCATGGCAGATGCTGCAGGAAGGGATTAAAAGGCTCTGCGAAGTAGGCATTCTGGAGTAAATATATCATGTGCAGCCAGAAGATACAACAGATGTTCCAATGTTCAACAGATGTGCTAAGAAAGACTCAAAGGAGATACCATTTTCTAAGGCCAGGAGTTAGGGGCACCAACATCACTAAGATGTTCAGAGGTGGCTGTCCCCGGTAAGAAGGGCTGATCTCCTTCCACTCAATGCTGCTTCTGCTCCCTCCTTTCCACAACTGTTGATAGCTAATAAACATCTTGTAACCCATACTTCATTCATCTCAGTGTCTACCTCCAGAGAACCCAACGTGTGCCAAAGAAAAAGAAAAAAAGAATGTGAATTAAAGTCACCTCAAATCACAACCCCCCACTACCACCATAAACATAGTGTGTCTTGAAGACATGATAGCTCTGTCATAAGAATATGAAATCAACCAAACAAATTGTAAACTGTTAAAGTCACCCTTCTGTTTATTCAATGACAATGTCAAAATCTCAACTTTTTCATCAGAATAAAATATAAAAGCCTGCCAGTACCATATGTAAGTGATCTTTAGCCCCCAAACATTTTAAGAATTCTACATTTATGCCTTCCAGACATAACAACGTCCAATATTTTGTAGTATCCAGACCTCTTGACCTGGGTGTCAATTCTCTCTTACCATGTAGCAAATTACCATCAACTTAGCAGCTTCAGACAACACGCACATTATCTCGTAGTAAGTGAGCATTGTCTTCAACTGGCCATGAATAAATTGTGTTATTTTCTTTACAGCCTCTTAAGAGGCTGCAATCAAAGTGTTGCCCTGGGCTGGAGTCTCATCTGAATGCTCAGCTAGGGAAGGATCCCTCTCCAAACTCACTCAGTGATTGTGAGCAGGATTCAGTTCCCCTCTGTGGGTTGTTGAACTGGAACCTCATTTTTCCAATGGCTGTTGGTGGCAAGCCACCCTCCTTTCCTTGCCATGAGGACCTTTTCCACGTGGAAGCTGCTTCATCAAAGTGAGCAAGCCAAGAAGACAATAGAGGGAGTCTCAGAGCAAGATGGAAGTCACCAAATCTGTAACCTCATCATGGAGTTGACATTTCCTCGATGTTGCAAAATTCTATCAGTTAGAAACAAATTATTCAAGGGAAAAAGATTACATAAAGCTGTGAATACCAGGAGAGAGATGTCATTGGGCACCATCTTAGAGGCTGCCCACCACATTAAATATGTGCATATTTATGTTCACAAAGGTGGAATTGTGCTGTTTGATAATCTTCAAATTTCTAAAATGCAAATGACTTTCTATATCCATAACAGTCGTCTGTATATCGTTGTTAATGGCTGCATAGTATTCCATTGAATCACTGTCATGATTTATTCACCAAGCCCTACTACTGAACATGAGATTTTTTTCCAGTTTTTATTTCTACAAGTGATGCTGTTATGCACATCCTTGTATCTAAACATTTCCACACTCATTTATATATTTTCTTGGGAAAGAATTCCTAGAGATGAGTGGCATTGTTGAGTTGGAAGACAATGCTCTTTTTAAAGACTTGTTACTTTATGAAATCTTTTTAATTGATCTCCAAATAAAGGACTTGTTAGATTGGCGAGAGCTCTCCCTTCCTCCCAGTGGTAAAGCATGCTTCTCTTTCCAGGGCATGCCTATGTGCAGGAGAAGCCAGCCTCCTTCTGGTGGGTCTGTATATTCCATTCTTACTATCAAATCACCCTACATAATGGGAACCCCATATAACAAGGCTTCTATTATATCACCAAATTGCCCTCAAGAGAAGTTGTTCCAATTTACCATGTTGTGAACAGTGTATGGGATTTATCCCCATTTATTTTAGATCTGTTATATGAGAAGGTTCTGGTCCATCCTTAATGAAGTACATATGTGGGTTTTATGCTGTTCCATTTCCCAGATGCCTCTGGAGCCAGGCAGAGATCACAAGTGTGAGGGGACTTCAAAACGTTCGTGGAAAACATGGAACTGAAACATAAAAATAGAAGCCAGGCATAGTGGCATGCATCTGTAGTCCCAGCTACTCAGGAGCCTGAGGAAGGAAGATTGCTTGAGCCCAGGAGTTTGAAACCAGCCTGGGCAACATAGCACGATCCTGTCTCTAAAAATAAGAAGAAGAAGAAGGAGGAGGAGGAGAAGGAGAAGGAGGAGAAGGAGGAGAAGGAGGAGGAGGAGGGAAGAAGAAGAAGAGGAAGAAGAAGAAGAAGAAGAAGAAGAAGAAGAAGAAGAAGAAGAAGAAGAAGAAGAAGAAGAAGAGGAAGAAGAAGAAGGAGGAGGAGGAGGAGGAGAAGGAGGAGAAGGAGGAGGAGGGAAGAAGAAGAGGAAGGAGAAGAAGAAGAGGAAGAGGAAGAAGAAGAGGAAGAAGAAGAAGAAGAGGAAGAAATAAACTTTATTTCTCAACACAATCTCCATGAAGGTCAAGACAATTTTGTAGGTGATAATACTAGCCATTTAATCCATCCCTAAACAACGTAGCGTCCTTGGAATTTAACATGTTAATGCAATATTTTCTACATTATTCACTAAAGAAAAATGGGTGCCCTTTACAGATTTCTTTTAGGATTAGGAAGCAAAAAGAAGTCAGAAGGAGCTAGATCAGGACTATAAGGTGAATTCCAAATGATTTCCCATTTAAATTATCATAAAATTGCCCTTGTTTGATAAGGAGTGAGCAGGTGCATTTTTGTGGTGAAGAAGGACTCTCTGGTGAAACTTTCCCAGCAGTTTTCAGGCTAAAGCTGTGGCTAACTTTCTCAAAACGCTCTCATCTAAGCAGATGTTATCATTCTTTAGCTCTCCAAAAAGACAACAAGCAAAATGATTTGAACATCCCAAAAAACTGTTGCCATGACCTTCACTCTTGGCTGATCCATGTTTGCTTTAATGGGACCACTTCCTTCTCTTGGTTGCCATTGCTTTGGTTGTGCTTTGTCTTCAGGATCATGCTGGTAAAGCCATGTTCCAACTCCTGCTACAATTCTTCAAAGAAATGCTTCCAGATCTTGATCCCACTTGTTTAAAACTTCCATTGAAAGCTGTGCTTTGGTCTGCAGCTGACCTGGGTGCAATGATCTTGGCACCCATTGAGTAGAAAGTTAGCTCAACTTTAATTTTTCAGTCAGAAACATGTAAGCTGAGCCAACTGAGATGTCTTTGGTGTTGGCTGTTAATCATTGGTCCACTTCAATTAGGACATGAACAAGATTAATTTTTTTCCTTAAAAATTGATGTGGATGATCTGCTGCTGCAGGCTTCATCTTCAAAACACATTATTCATTTGTAAACTGCTAATTTCTTTGGGGGCATTGGCTTCATAAAATCTTTGTAAAGCATCAGTTATTTTACCATACTTCAATCCAAGCTTCACTATAAATTTGATGTTTGCTCTTGCTTCAATTTTAGCAGAATTCATGTTGCTCTGATAGGGGCTCTTTTCAGACTGAGGTCTTATCTTTCTTAGTGCCTCAATCTAGATCCTGTTCAGACATGTTATAACAAGTTAGTATGAGTTTATTTTCTTGCAACAAATTTTTGAAATCCATGCATAGTTTTTTTCATAATATGTATTTTTCATGAACATTTTGAAAACCTCTCATATGTGAGTCAGGCTAGATGTAAATCACCAAAAAGTGGGGACCCTGTAAAGAACTGGAATGTCTATGGCCCACTGAAGGCCTTCATATTCAAAAACATTTTTAAACACGTTGCTGGGCCAACAAAATATTTTTGTGGCTCAGATTATATGTGGGCTATGAATTTATAATCCATGATTTATTCCTGAGAAACAATTGGTAATTTTTAAAAAGTAGAATTGTTGCCTCTGATCATGAAACAAAAGCATTTCCTAAGCAAAGCCAATTGGCTCATACAAGTGACCGTGTGTAGTAAAATATTCAGTCCTTACTACATAAAAAATCATACAAAGTGGGCCATCAGGAACTCCAAGATGGACAAAGAACACAAAAATGACCAGACTTTCTCTTCTTGGGATGCAAAACTAGGTGTCATAAAAAGCATAACTGAATGAACAAATGATGACAGCTTCTTGCTACAGTGTTCACTTTCTCCTTACCTGCTATGGGAACAGAGCTCTCTCCTTTTGAGAACCTGGGAGTAATGGGAGATGCATTTATAAATACACCCACACTTTCTGTGAATCTCAGCAGCTTCAATTCCACATCCCTGGAGAACTGACTATAGGAATCCATTAAGTTAATGAGGGGTTAGGTGCAGCTATATCTGTGCAACATGTGACAAGCATCACCCCATAATTGAATAAGGGATCTTTTTGCAAAAACTCTGAGGGAAAGTTATGGCTTCTATTTCTTAACTACCAGAGTGCTGGGCACAGTGCAGGGTACATAAGGGGAAGATATTTAGTAACTACCTGATGTTTGGTGCAGACTTCATGAATACAAATGCTGTGTTAATGTAACCCCCCTCCTCCTCCCCCAAGAAAGTGGATTTACTGTTTTATATACCTTCCTTTGGAGAGTAGGGGGTGGGGGCATTAAGAGAAAGACTCTCGGTCTAATTTTATACTATAAGGATAACTGGGCAAAGTGGAGACAATTTATATTTTTTAACTTTTAAATGTAAACAGCTAGAAATGCACACCTACTCTGGTTGTGCCCAAATCAGGGATAGTGCAAAGTGTCAAAGTATTATTAATTTTCATTGATCATGCAAGGTGTCAATCTGTTACCGATTTTCATTATTGATTATTGGAAGAACTGCTCAAATTTAATTTCTTCACCAAGGCTAGCAGCATTAATGAAAAGACCCATCTGCAGAGATTACCTGGACTTTCCAACCAAGTTTTGATGATACAGGTGCATCTCCCCTCGATTTGTTTGCCTTGAATACTGATTTCCACAGACAATATGTCCACTTTTCATCTCAGTTCCAATTATATGGTGATTGAAACTGGCTTCCAGGAGTTCAGGTTAGTCGATAAGCAAAAGGCAAGATTCTTGCCCTCCAGTTGGTTGTAACCTCTCCAAATTCCTATTCTCATCCTCTCACTTTCTCCTTTGACCCCTCCCTGCCCCAGGATTTACCTGCCACTGGCTCAGACCAAGTCCGCTGTCTTTCCGGGGCCCCTCGTCTAGCACAGTGTCACCTGGTGGCCCCCCTCCGCTATTACAGCAGGACAACAACAGCAGGAGAAAACCTACCCAATCCTTGAAAATGAAGACAGCCAAGATTAACCGCATAAAAGAAAGCAAATGACCGATATAGAGAAACAGAGAAAGAGAGAAAAAAAAATCTTCCTTCTATGGAACTTCCCATAGATTCAAAAGTTGCATGAAAACAGGGTAAGAATTGATTCTGTGGAGACTATTTACAAACATCAAAACTATACTTCTGTTCACATCTTTTCTCAAAATACCTTTTATATTGTAATGGTCAGAGAATGAGGAGGACTTTTGAGTGGTTAACCATTCCCTAAGGAAGTTCTCTCTTTACTGGCTTCTGAAAGCAAAACTATAAAATGTTTTTCTATTCTCTAGCAAATTATGATGATTCATCAATATTATTGATACTTAAGAGTTTATCCTTTCAAATGGCTGCAGCAAACCTCGGAACAACAATTCGTACCTCATGCAAAGCACCTGATGTTCACAAAGGCTGGCTGGGTACCGTAATCCTGGGTCCTGGCTGGTATTTTGCCATGTAAAGAAGAAAAGAACAAAGTGGCAGTTATCTTTTTTTTTTTTTTAGCTATGTTTTGGAAATGACCCCAAAAATGTTTATTGGATGTGATTTTTACATTTATCTATTTTTAAAATGGGTGTTGCTTAGTGATTTCTGCCCTACCATTATTTGTGGTGAATTCCATTGTAGAGACTGAGAAAAAGAAGTTCTTTTCCTGCCAGTTTCATCTTCCCCACTGATTTCCTCACCCCAATGCATGCCCCTAATGGAGCTTGAAATGAATGCAGCTTGGCTTTTGTTTTCTTCCTTTGTTGGCACACCTCTGCCAGAGGCCAGCTGTGGTCTGAGCTGCGGGCACTCATCCTGCAGGGAGGAGTCTGTTCCTCCCAGAGGCTGGAAACCAGAGGGAAAGAAGGGCAGGAGAGGATGGGTTTCCTTTTGCTAGGCCTTGAGCCACAAGTGAATATTACCTTTTGAAATGAGCTGCACTACAGAAAATAAGAGCTTTATAAAATACACGAGAGCCAGGAAGCTAGCAATCCAGTTGGAAAGGTAGAAAGACAACATTAGAAAATGTAAGTGGTCCTCATGCCGGATGAAGTCCCTTATACCTTAAAAACTGCAACATAAATGCAGTATTCTCAAACGTATCCTTGCTGGCCTAAATGTGGATTATTCACACAGACCAAAAAAAGGGAAAGAGAAGGACATCGGTTAAGAAAGTCCTCCAGGGCATCTAACTGTTACCGATTCTGCATTCCTGAACTCTCCCCATACAGCCAAAAGCTGATGGACTTGAGCCCGTGGGTCCCTCCAGTAAAATTGAGAGAGTTTGGCTAAAGATCTTATGGGGATTTAGAGGGGTATGATAACCACCTCTAGAGCCTTTCCTCCTCTAAGACTCCCAGTCTTTTCCCTTGGGAAGAAAACTAGAAGCTCAAGCTGGCCTTCCTGATCTCTCTCCGGCCCATGCTCTGCTATATTGGGAAAGTCACACGCATTTCTCTGACTCAGTGTGTGAGTAACTTAGATGCTCACAGGGATTGCTGTGATGAGCCCAATCTACCTCCCAGTGATGTCAGATAGCTTGAGGCCATGGCTTTTCCCAGGGCCACTTTAGGGAAATTTACTGAACTGCTTTCAGACCTTAAGAGCAATGCAGTGCCCTCTTGTCATCTCAGTGAATTTCCAGAAACCTCCAAGATGGACTGCATTTTCTCCATTGGATCAAGGATATAACGGAGGGTTCTGTTACTGCCCAAGGATTTGGAAGTGAATAAATCATAGCTATTACCATATTATAACATGTTGACATAGAGGCAGATACACAGTTATAGATCCCTATATAGAATTGCCAAAATTATCTCCCTGTTAGTAAACATTTACTCTATGCCTCAGTTATATCTGGGATTTCAATGTACCCTAAGGAATATTTGTAACACAAAAGCATGCAACACTACTAGGTCATAAAGATAGTCTTTCCAAACAAATGTTAACACTAATAAATGCTAAATAGTTATAATGCCCGCTTAGAGTTTGGAAGAGTTTGAGACCATTTGGATTTTACAGATCTCTAAGAAACCGTCCAAGGAAAATTAAATTACTGTCGTCTTTTTTATCTCAATAAATTCTCTCCTAGCAAAGAAAAAACGTTATTCCAAAATATGTAGTAGTCTCCACGCTGCTGCATTCAAGGTGACGATAATTATTCTCACAGAGAGCTGAGCAGTGCGGGATGACTGGAAGACCTCACCAAGGACTTTATTTGTGGAGATTTGGAAAGTCTCTTTATTATGATCCTCATACTTGTCTACCCCTCCCCCATGTTAATGTATCTTCTGTGTTGCTTCCTGCACGAAATCACCAGCAGTGGTGTCTGAGCGATGGTGAGGTAGCCGGGGACATAGCCCGCTCTGCCTGCGTTTGCTGTTGAGACTGGGACACCACGTGGATGTGAAGCCACCGCGTATTTTCTTTGAATCGCCCCCTCACTCCAAAAGCTGGGGGTTTGCTGTGATTCTCAGCCATGAACAGAGACATCCAGGTTGGGTGATGATGAGGTCGTCACAAGGTGAACAGGATGTAAGAAAGGAGCCCTGAAGTGTCTCCAAGGTTTTTGGCCCAATGGGGGAATGTGTTACAGCCTGTTTTCCTCCCCTGAAAATTGCGACATGAATATTAGGTAGATGCTTACAAAACATCAAAGAAAGGTTGAAAATTGTCTGCAAAACCAATTTTACTAAATATGTGTGCTTATATCGTTTATTGAGAAAGAATATTAAGCTCTGGCAAAAAAAGAACCTCAGTGCAGAGAAAATAGGCATAACAAATTTTAATAACTGTTTTCCTGATTACAGAGTAATTAATGATCATTGTAGAAAATTTATAAAACAGAGAAAAGTATGAAGAAAAATCAAGATCAATGCCAATTTTACTACCTTGAGATAACTGCTGTTTTATAAAAAATTATATATATTTATCCTTTCTATTTTTGCATTATCATAAATAATAAAGTTCTCTATGAAATGAGCACTTACTTTATGCTAACATTCTGCTAAGTGCTTTAGACACATTATCTTAGTTTATTCTTACTAAAACCTGTGAATTAAGTATTATTATTGTTCCCATTTAACATCAAGGAACTAAAACAGACCAAGATCACACAAATAGCAAAAGATAAAGATGAGTTCTGAGCCCCGATAGGTGTGATCTCAGAATCAACTCTAAACCAGAACTACTCAAGTGTGGTCCAGGGACCAGTGCTGATCTATGAACTGTATATTACTGGTCAATGCTGAGATAAGTGTAGGAATCCAGGACAAGCATTTAGATGCCTTTGTGGCAACTTCACATTGTGATGTGCATAATCACTGACTCTTATTGATGAAGGGTCTGGGGGCACACAACTTGCATGGCTGGCGAGGGGCACCTAGTGTGAACTGAATACCATTCAGATAGTAGGACACTCACTCTGAAATCAATTGGAGATTTAAGAAGAAACAAATTCGGTCCTTTGCCACAAATAGTTTCCAAAGCATTGCTCT
Organism: Homo sapiens; assembly: GCF_000001405.40. NCBI lineage: Eukaryota > Metazoa > Chordata > Mammalia > Primates > Hominidae > Homo > Homo sapiens. The sequence goes on from NC_000015.10 coordinate 92,387,302, forward strand.
AAACCATTATATTGCCTCCCTGGAGTGAAAACAAAGAAATCAACGTAGCCGAGTAAGATGCTAAGAAATAGGAAGATGCAGTGTTATGAAGCTCAGCTTCAGAAAGAGCTTTGTTGCCCACAAACTCTGTCATTAATGGTGAGTGACTTCTGGCGAGTCCTTGCTCCACCCAAGCATAAGACAGGGCCGGTGAGGACTTGCCTGCAGAGCTGAAGATGGGAGAGAAAAATCCTATGATGGGCTTCTCCATTCTCACTGTGGCAGATGCTACCGGCTGTCCCCACCCCCCTCCATCTTTCCCTCCCTTCTTCCAAAACTGAGTCTTAGCTGAGCACACAGAAGCCCAGAATAAGGATTTGTTCCCCGCATCCCTTGCAGCTGGCGGGGGGACACAGGACAGGGTCCAGACAGAGGGGTGTAAATGGGAGCATCTCTGGAGGTGTCAGGAACTTTCCTCTTTCTTCCTTATTATCTCTGCTTCTATTCTATTGCTTGGAACCTGGATTTGATGGAAGAAGAGGAAAGAGTCTCACCTTGGAGATGGTGGAAAGGAAGCTGGAAGGATCAGAATCCCTAAGGACTTCGCAGACTAACCACAGCAAAACCAGTGCTGGCTGCCTGCTGGACGACTGGCACATGAAGAAGAAATAAACTTCTGTTTCGAATAAGTCACTAGCATTTTGGGTTTATTGTCCCTTGTAGCCAAATCCAATCCAAACTAGTATACTCATGCAGCCAAATTGGTCTCTTGATCACCCCCCCGCTCCCAGTTTTCCCTAGTCTGCTCTGACAAATCTGATCTGAGGACTGGGAAGAGAGGATGTATAACCACACAGATGGCATTTGAGGCAGGGGAGAAGTGGAAGAGGATTCCCAAAGGGACATTTTACAAGAAACTGACTTGGCACCAAGAGTCTCCTTCCTCTGTCCAGTGTTTGGTGCCAACATCCCAGCGGGTCGACATCCTGGCAAACGCTGCCATGTCTTTGGGGACTATGCCGCTTCGAGTTTACTTTAGAAACAGTATTTCACCTGGCATGCTCACAAAGGCATTGTGACTTTGGCGACCTCCTGTTGCCACTGGTCCCTAGTTTTGTGCTGGAGGTGGCTCATGCTGGCTCTTCAATACAGTCATTATTAAAAATGGAAATATATCAACTTGAAGTTCAATAAATTATATCAAAAACAAAGGCAATAAATACTCAGAACTCATCACTTCCTAATTTCATTTTCCACCCTTGACCATGATCTATGTTCTTGAAGTTATCTTGTTTCTTGTATGAATATGGTGGGAATACTGTGTCATGCTGGGCGGTTCACATCTTTTCCTAACTCTGCCTTCAGCAACGTGACGATGATGGTTTGAAATTGACCATGATGGGAACAGGTATTGACTGGGGTTCTTTCCTCCTAGATAATGTGGGGCCAGAGAGGAATAAAAGTCCCTATCCCTTCGGAGTTTCCAATCTCACTGAAGTATCACAAACATGAAATAAAATATTATGTATGAAGGAGAACTAGAACTGAACTCAGCTAGGAGGCAGGAGAGCTAGAATCTGTTCTCAGCTCTGAAACAAGTGGTGGGACTGTGGGCAAGTCTCTTGGTCTCTCATCACAGCGTTTTTCATCTAGAAAATCCCATTGGACTCCAAGCTCCACCAGGGGAGCAGCTGCGTTTACCCCATTTGCTGCTACATCCCAGCCCTCCAGCATAATTCCAGACATGTAAGAGGCAATGAAGCAATGCTTGTCAAGTAAATGAATGAGTGGGAAAGCACCATCTCCACCAACCCTTCCAGCTCTGAGAATGTGGAGGTCCATGATCCAAACTAAGGTTAAGAGAAGTGGCACAAGACTGAGAGCCAGGGATGGTCAACACGGGCCAGTTTCCTCAGATGCCTACAAGGAAGGGGCCATGCTGGACTCTGGGCAAAGGTGGGCAAGCCAAGAAGTTGGGCAAGCCAGGAAGTCTGACTGAGATCACAGTGATCATTCCTCGAAGCCCTGGTGAGAATCGTGAGCGGACATTCCTTTTAGTTCTTCTCTGTTGTCTGGTACCTGACTTCATGCTTTGGTTCAATACTGCCTTGAATGCCAGCTGAAGAGTTTGTTAAACTCCCAGCAAAACAAACAAACAAACAAACAAAAAAACATTGAACCATCCCCCTGCCCACTACCACTTCCAGCTCGCTGTGGAGCTCATTCTCACACCCCTCCCAAGATCTCTTGCTGATAGTCTCGGAAATATTTACAGCAATCGCCTGAGTACATTTCTTTTCTTTCCTTGGCTAAACTATAATTTTGCTATTTAAAAAAAGTTACAAAAGGAATGCAAATGTGCCCGTTAACTTTTCCATATTCTTACCACTCTGAGTCTGATTTTAAAGCGGAAAACGTTGCATTTGTGAGAATACTCAAATTTAATGTAAATTTCTCAAGATAAGGCAAATTCTCTCATTTATTAGCAGTGCAGAAACACAATAGCCAATGAATGTATCCCGACTATGATACTCTACCTGTTGACATCACCCTCCCATCCTACCCAGTCCCAACACACATACAGTTCCCCCTTCAGAGATGATGAAAAAGCAAGACCATTACCACTTTGTAGTTATTTCACATTCTAAATTGCTCTTGGAGCGAGTTCAAAGGTGTTAGGTCAGAATTTTGAATGCGATTGTTATTATTTATTCTTAAGGTTTTTTTAAGTCTGAATTGATTGAAATAACTCGTTTTTTCCATGTGGAAAGATGAAAACAGAGATTTATTACTATAGTCTCACAAATGATGAAGGGTGTGCAGTGAGTGAAGATAGATTTGTTCCCAGAATCCTCACATGCCAGAACTAAGGGCACATAGTCAGAATTAAAGAAGATGCCTGTTTACAAATCTATTTAGAATTGCCCCACGTGCGGAAGAGGATATTGGCCATCCCACAGTCCCACATGTTGCTGGGTCAGGGTAGGAAATCAGCTTCTTTGAGCCTCAGTTTCCTCAAATGTAAAAGGGAGATAATGATATCTATATGAAAGGATTGCCAGGATTAAATCAGAGAAATAGCCCAGGCCAGCGCCTTGAACTTGTGTGCACTCCCAAATGTTAGCTCCATTCCCCCTTGCTCCCTCCCCCGTCCGACTTGCCCCCATTTCCAGCCAGTCACTTGGACAAGTTATTATCAATACAGACCTTACTACTCCCAAGAAGTCGCTCAGGTGAAGATTCTGCATAGCTGGGGTGGAGAGGGGGAGTTTAGCCCTATGTGTAAATGGTAGATACAGTTTTAGAGTTTCCACGAATTCAGGCTTTGGGTGGTTCCCCATTCTCCAGGTTGCAGCTAGAAGGACAAACATGCCCTCAGCCAGTGTCAGACACAAGGAAGGGGTGTCCATGTGTGACCCTGTTGGGCTCCTTTGAGCTTCTGAAAAGCCTCTTGGCCCTCTGTCCCTCATTACTACAAACTGCCCAGGGCCTTACCAGTTGCCTGAATAGCTTATATACTCAATTAATTTGAGTTAAAATGTTAATGGGTGGTAATGGCCTTTAATTTGCCACCACTTCCTCATTTTAACCCAAACATTCAATGACTTAGTCTACAGAAGTGATGGCTGTAGGACCTTCGGGCTTCTTGGAAAATCCAAGGCAGGAAAAGAGACTTGCTTAAACAGAGGGGTAAGCAGGAGGGGAGGGGTCAGGGTGGCCAAGCCAAGCACATGCCCATGTGGCAGTTCACATCACCAGTCTGACATTCTCCACCAATCTCATCAGTCTTCCTCTTTCCAGATTCCAGGAACAAACTCATTTTTGCAGAGGCAGCAACGGGTGGTGTATGTACACAATCACTTGTTAAAGGAGCTGGCCCAACGAGACCCAAACCTAAGTGATCACAGATAGCAGGTATTCTATAGTCAACGATCACAAGGGTCCCCCATCACCCTCCAAGAAAAATCCCACTTCAGTGACTCTCATCGCAAGGACAGCGTCTATGTGAGGAAGCTAGCTCTACTTCCGAGCAGGTATACTTGAGAGATATTGCTCTGTGGGTCTGATTACAGGGATCTCTCTATATGGAATCGAACCATTCAACAAAAGCTTCCACTGTTTCCTGTCCACTCATATGACTCTGGTCTGGTGGGTGCAAAGAAGGAAGACTGAGCCTGGGATGAGAACATGGGCCACCTAACAGGAAACGGAAATAGATTCTGCTGTAATCGTGGGTCACCTAACAGGAAATGGAAATAGACTCTGTTGTAATTGTGCTTGCAGCAATGAGGTTGACCCGACCTGGTGAATTTAGTACCACGGCAACACTTCCATGATGTTCTGCATGGTAAGAGTGCAGTAGGTAGAGAAGCAGAGAAGCAGAGAACAGAGGAGAGAAAGGTCAGTTTCTTCTTGCTCTTTTGGGGGATCTTATTAATCAATTATAAGTGAGCCAGGAGACCTTAGGTCTACTGCAGCTCAAATCCCCTATCATAATTAGACACCTGAATGTCTGTCTCCCTTGTGAACAGTGAGCCACTAGAGGGCAGGAAACCCGAGGTGTCTCTCTCCACTTGGTGTCTCTAGCTCCTAGCACAGAGCCTGGTACAAGGTAGGTTAAATATTGCTGCACGTTGGAGTGAGTGGAGGAGCGATTCAAATACAGAGCAGCATACCAGGCGCATCCTGTACTTTCCTCTCCCTATTCAGGTATCCCAACCATTCCCTTCAGAAAAACAAGGCAAAATGATGACAAAAACCACTCCACACCTCCTAAACCACCCTTCAAGCAAGACAAAGGGAAAGATTTTGGCATTTTGAAAACTTGAAATAAGGATGGTTAGACCCCGTGCCAGCCACACTGATGGGAAACTCTCCTTTGACGTCTCATCCCTGCCTCTAACAGACAGGGAGAGTGACGTCCAACATTGTTCTCCACATCAGAAAAACCTCACCCCAAGAAAAATACATGGTATTTTCGAAGTGCTTACTGTAAAAGGAGCAGGGTGCGCTGACTTCGCCAAGGAATGGGAAGGAAATGAAGCGCTGAGGTGGGAATTAGTACACGCTTCCTCTGGGGAAAAGACATCTGCTCCTGGCACTCCTCAAAGGAGGTGAGGCAGAGCTCTCCCTTGACGCTGTGCTGCTTCCCTAATCCATTCTCCAGGCTGGGTGATGGGACCTCTTCCTGCAGGGGAGAGCCTGCCCTGGCTCCCAGGGTCAACAAGGGCAGCAGCCCCCGGCTTGGAAGCCTCCCTCCTGCCCCTCCTTACACACGAAGGGGCAGAAGGGCTCTGGGCACAAGCAGTACTTTGGTAGAAAATCAGAAGGCCCTCTTACATCCCCGGGGGCGCCATGAAGGGACTTGGCTGCTGCCAGCCCCTCGCCAAACTCCTCTGAGTGGTCCAGGGGATAAGGCCGACACGCCCCTCCCATTCACTGGGGTGTGGTTTCCAGCACTTAGGACATTCCATGTAGCTTCTCCAACAGGACTCCTCCTCCCCACACTCAAACCCAAAGGACCCTTTCATAAACCAGATGATCATTTCTGGAAAGTTACATTTCTTAATTTCAGGAATTGTTCCAATTCGTGCAAAGAAAATAAAAGGTAATTATCTAATTCCAGTAAAACTTAATGGGGCCCTTCCCACCCCTGGCCAATGGTTGGTGTGAAATGTAATTTGACTTAAACTGTCTAAGGCTGTGAAAGTGTACAATATTCGGAAGGGTGGGGGGCATTACCCCTTGTGGGAGCCATATTTTTCTAGAAGGCATTTTGATCAAGACAGGCCTCCCGCGGTTATTGATCTTAGGGTCATTGAGAGTCCAAGAACTGGGGAGATGAAGGCCACCCGGCGTCAGCACCGCGAGGGCGGAGGGAAGGCGGGCGCTGAGTCTCCCATTGGGGTTCTAGCCGAGGGTTCCAGCCAGGACTGCGTGATCTGGGGGCAGCTCGGAGAGCTCTCCCGACCCAGTATCGGGTCTATAAATGGAGATAAAGATCAGCACCTGGAGGGAGTGGTTTCTCGAGGGCTGAGAGCCTCGCCCACAAACTGTAGTCAGCATCTTCACTGAAGTTGGCCTGTCTTGGATATTTCTTCTCTCCTCCCCTTCCCCCACCTCCCCTCCTAATTCATCAACTGCTGAAACATCTGCCTGGCTGAAACCGCCTTCTCGCCGCGCGCTGGGGGCTGTCCCCAGGTGTTGGTCTTTGTGTCGAGAAAACTTTGCGAGGAGGCGAGGGAGCTGGACAAAGAGCGGGCGAGGGAGGGCGTTTGCCAGCCTGAGGGGTGCGCCGGGCGGTGCGCGCACTTCCCTGGGCTCAGCTCCGTACCCGGTCGCTCGCGGTGGCCAGAGCCCAGTCTCTCTAGGCCAGGAGTGGCGTCCGGCTGCATCCCCGCGCCCTCGGGAGCTGAATAAAGCCAGGCGGGAGAAGCAAAGGCTAGCGCCTGGACGCTGGAGTTGGTGGGAGGAGGCGAGCAGAGGCGCGGAGCAAAGCTGTCAAACTGCGCGCGGAGCCGGGCGCGGGGCGGGGGAAGGGAGAGGAGGGAGGGAGGGGCAGGCGGGAGCCGGGAGGGAGCGAGCGGGCTCGCCGCGCCTGAGCAACCCCTGCCTGTCGCTGCCGCTGCCGCTGCCGCTGCCGCCGCCGGCCCGGACTCGTCCGGAGCGCAGGGTGTCTGCCCAGCTGCGCGCGGCGCGCGGAGGCTCCGGCGTCCGCCGCTGCGCCCTCCGGCCCCTGCTCCTCGCGCCGGCCCGCGTGGGTCCCGGCGGGCGCGAACCCACCATGCAGCTGCAGTTCCGGAGCTGGATGCTGGCCGCGCTCACGCTGCTCGTGGTCTTCCTCATCTTCGCAGACATCTCAGAGATCGAAGAAGAAATCGGGTAAATAGCTGCTCCCAGGCCCGTGCCACGAGCCCTGGCGGGATCTCTCCCTCCTTCTGTACTCTCCACCCTCCGACCCCCTTTGTGTGCGCCGCGCCCCGCTGTAGCTCCGCTGGAGAGATGGGGACGGTTTGGCAGAAGGTGGCGGCGACAGGGGCCCGGGACGGTTTGGGGAGAGGAGGGTGGGGGCGCGGCTGCTGTGGGGTGTCCCCGGGCGGGGTTCACGGGAAGCCCCCAGCTGGCCCGCGTCGGGAAGCGGACTCGCCCACCCTGCCCCCCTGCCTGGCGTGTCCAAGCGCAGTGTCGCCGGGGTCGAGGGAGGGCGCCGGGGAGTGTCTCGGGCGGGCGGAGGGGCCGAGAGTGGAGGGAGGCAGGAGTTTCTTTGTCTCCAGCACGGCCGCTTTCTCGCCTTGGCAAAGTGGGCAGGGGGCGCGCAGGGATCTCTGAGCTGGGGGAGGGGTTCCTGGGGCCGGAGCGGAGGGCGGGGTTCTGCATGGGCTACTGGGAAGCGGAATGTCCCCTGCACACACAGACAGGCACACGCGCCTCCCGCCGGCCCGGGAGCCCGGCGTAGGAGCTGGCACCACTAGAGAAGGGCTCGCATAGCTGGACTGAGACCCCCCGCCCTCGCCTGGCTTTGGACGTTCAGCCAAGCCACGGCAACCCCGGCGACCCTGGGTTCCTGTGCGCTCGCAGCGCGGAGACGGAGACATTTCGGGAAAGTCTGTACCGCCGCCCGGTGGGCTTCTGGGCCCTCAGGCGGGCGATCTGGCGCTTTTTTTCTCCCGACCTCGCCAGAGGTAGGGTGGGACCGCGAGCCCGGATCCTCCCGGCTCCGGACTTCCTGGAGTGCGCACTTGAGGCGCGGGACGCACCGGCTGTGTGTCCCAGGGGCTGAGACTCGCGCCCCGCCCCGCAGCCTTCGGCTCGCCGGGCCGGGCCCCTCTCCGGAACCTCCAAAGGGCGGTAGACGACAGGTGGGGAGGCAGCCGGGGTTCTGAGGAGGCCCGAGGAGAGCTTCCTGGCCCTGGGCAAGGGGAAGGTGAGGTCTCAAAGAGGGCAGAAGGTCTCTTCTTCTGTGGGATTTGTGCTCTGCCAGGCGCTCTTCTCGAGTCCCGCGCCGCGTGCGCCCCTCCTTTGTCCCATTTGTTACTTCATTTGTTATCTGTGCTAGTTGAGGGTCCGCCACACTGTCAGTCCCTCAAATGGGAGATGCCAGTCCTGGGCCCAGGCGGGATGCCGAGGCCCCAAGGACAAAAACTTGTGACAAGTGCCGCTTCCTGCTCTCATTTTCTCCCTGCCCCTGCCCATCTCCCTGGAATTCCTTCTGTGAACTCCGCTGGGCTTCCAGAACCCCTCTCCCTGCCTCTTTCTCCTCTCATTCTCGGTTTCCCCAAGAGCTCTGAAAACTTTCACAAATGCTGCGCAGTTAATACACAACGTGCCACCAATTCCCACGCAGAGATAAACATGCTACTTTTCATAGCTGCTCGCCTCAGAAACGTGGATTGGAAAGGAAATCGGGCAAGTCACGTCTTGGGGTAATGGAAGATGCGGTGAGGAGGGCCTTCCTCTAGGCTCTCCGGCTTCTGATTCCGGATGTGGGCACTGCCCGGCTCAGATCACTTGCTGACCTTTGCCCATGTGAGAGGGAAGGCCCGGCGCTGCCCATTGTCCTGTTATAAAAACATAAGTGCTGTGCTTATCCAGGCACCCCTAGGTCAGCCATTCACTGAATTCTTACCAAATACCTTCCACATGCTGGGAACTTTTAATTTTTAAAATGCAATCAGGAGATCACTTTGCACATAATGTTGCACTTTCTTGCCAAATGCACGGTGAAGCCTACGCTCCCCACATCAGGTTGTTCCCATATATGTACGCACCCCGGGGACTTGTCTCACTTGAGTGCTCCCTGCTTCTTTTTATCCTGTCTCTGCTGGGCCAATCCTAGGAAAAAACGGTCAAACAAGTACGATGTGTCACCTCCTGTGGCATCTTCCTTCCCTCTCTTGCCTCTCGTCCCAGGCTGACCACTGGCTTGACCAGTCCTGACCAGGCCTAAGACACCCTCTCTCCCAGGCTGATGTAGCTGCCTTAGGTCAACACTGCATATGCCTTTCGACTGGGATGGGCACTCTTGCCCCACCCACGGTCAGCCCCACACATGTTTAATCCAGAGGAATGGAGGCATATTTTGGGATTCACCATGGCTGGAGGAGTAAACACATGGGCAGAGCATGGGAATCCCAACAGCACCTTCTGTCTGCTTACAAGTGAGGGGTTTCTTTTTGTTTGTTTGTTTTTGTTTTTTTTTTTGTCTTTTCTTTTTTTCTTTTTCTTTTTTTTGAGACGGAGTCTCATTCTGTCGCCCAGGATGGAGTGCAGTGGCACAATCTCGGCTCACTGCAACCTCCGCCTCCCGGGTTCAAGCAATTCTCCTGTTTCAGCCTCCCGAGTAGCTGGGATTACAGGCACCTGCCACCACACCAGGCTAATTTTTGTATTTTTATTAGAGACGGGGTTTCACCATGTTGGCCAGGCTGGTCTCAATCACCTCAGGGGATCTGCCCACCTCAGCCTCCCAAAGTGCTGGGATTACAGGCGTGAGCCACCCCTCCCGGCACAAGTGAGGTTTTAACACTAAATTCATTCTTGGAATTACCCCAACTTTGGGCAGCTGGGCTCAGTGCCCAATAAGAGCCTTGGCACAGTGGCCAGTGAGGGGCGTCAAGAGGGCTCCGCCTTCCTCACCATATGCCTTCCTGGAGACCTCGAATCATACTCAGGCACAAGAGGCTTTTGCACCAGCCCTGCCCCTCCATCCCCAACTCACTCCGGACCTGTGCTAGGGAGGATTACAGATGATCTGCGCGTGTCGGCCCCTGGGAGAAAGCGATGGCTCTGTAAAAGGATGGCTGTTTCTGGAAAGTAATGAACAGTGGGACCCTGTGATCTGTTGGAAGGAAGGAAAGATAGAAGGAACCTCTTTTGGGGGTAACTTTTTCAAGGATTAAGGAATTTTAAAAAGTGAAAGAAGAAAGTGAATTACATGTGTATTATCTGGAGGGATAAAACTGAGATTTACTTTTCTGAAGCTTTTGATTCTCTTTTTTTTATAAAATGAGGCTTTTAATGTGGTGGTCTCAGAGGTCCTGTCCTGCCTGAAAAGTTATACATCATGAATTGAGGGGCAGGGCTTTCTTTGAGGGGAGTTTTCTGAGACACACATCTCTTTTCCTTAGTGATTATTTTCCAAAGTTCCATTTCTGACTCTCTTGCTCTCATTGAGCTGGAGCTGACTAAGAAAACAAAATGTAGAAAGATAAGTTCTCTGCAAAGCACCTAGAGAGTCCTGCCTGGTAGCCAAGGAGTGAATTCAAATTCTAAGTCAGAAATTGGGTGGGGCTTTGGTAAAATAGGCCCTGATCAATTCATGCACACTCCCAAGTTTTAGATCCAATTCGACCAAGTTGTAAGCTAAAATCTTCTGATTGTTTCTTGGCCTTTAATCTTGAGTGTAACTTCCACTAGGGGATTGTGAGGCGTAGCTGTCTTGCCCATCATGGTGTCCATGGAACTGGGCACACAAGGCATTCAATAAACATCTGTTGGATAAATATTTTCCTGAGTCTGGCACAGTGATGGGCACACACAGCATCCTTGGGCAAAGTTGAAACTCAGAGCTGGCCGGGAACGGTGGCTCACGCCTGTAATCCCAACACTTTGGGAGGCCGAGGCAGGTAGATCACCTGAGGTCAGGAGTTCGAGACCAGACTGGCCAACATGGTGAAACTCCATCTCTACTAAAAGTACAAAAATTAGCCAGGCATGGTGGCGGGTGCCTGTAATACCAGCTACTCGGGAGGCTGAGGCAGGAGAATGGCTTGAAACCTGGGAGGAAGAGGTTGCAGTGAGCCAAGATCACGCCATTGCACTCCAGCCTGGGCGACAGAGCGAGACTCCATCTCAAAAAAAGAAAAAAGAAAAGAAAAAGAAAGAAAGAAACTCACTGAGCCTTGGGACAAGAAGAGAGCATAGGGCTCTCCCTGTAGAAACCTTTCCTTTTTATCAGCTAGGGTGAATTTGACACTGAGAAATAACATCACTAATCTGAGATCACAGCCTGGCTGGTTAAGGGCAGAGCAGGCTTGCACAGGTCTCCTCTTTTGTAACCCAATGTCCTAATCCTCATATTAGTTCCTCTACCCATAAAGGAATTACAGAAATCTTGTTAAAGAGAAGTTGAGTGACTAGTAAAGATAACAATAGCAATTATGACAACGGTGAAGATGATGATCACGGTTAGCATTTACTGAGTGCTTCCTAAGAGCTAAGAGCTACTCCAAGTGCTTTATAGATGTTAACACATTCCAGCCTCATGGCAATCCAGTGGTCACCTGCCAGTGGCACTGTTTGTAGAGCTCTGTGAGCCAGATGCTAGGCTAACTGCTTTGAAACACATTTGCTGGATCCTCACCAGAACCCTCTAAGGTAGGTACCATTTCTATCCCCATTTATTGATGAAGAAACCGAGGCCTGGAGAGGTTGTATACCCTGCTGATAAACTTGTGATAAAGCAGCTCTGTGGAAGGCCGAAACCCATGCATGCTCTTGACCATTGTGCTAGACTGCCCTGTCCTCTGAGTTATTTTTTTTACCCTGAGCTAATAATGTTAACGAATATATCTGAAGACCAACTCATCCCCAGTGGTTCTTCTAAAGGCCCAGAGTTTTCCTGAGAGCCTGGTCTGGCCTTAGTAGTTTCTCCATCAGTCATTTAGAAAGACAGAAGGTGAATGAGGAGGACCAGAGGAGGACTCTGAGCACATCTCCCCAAAATGTCCCTCTAGTCCAGCTAAGTTCAGTGCCATGCTGGAGGACAGAATGGCATTAACCCCAACCTGTTACACAAGGTCACCTGCCATAGGTATGAGCATTCCAGACTCTGAGGTGGAGCCTGGGGCTAAAGTGACAGGAGGAAGGAAAGCTCCTATTCCATTGCAAACCTGATTCTGATGTCAATCAAAAGGGCCTGCCTCGATACTACGTGCTGTATATTTGGGCATCTAGGTGTCCGGAGCAGGGGAGATAGTAAAGATATTTAACAACTGCTCCCTCTCCAGCACCAACCTGTTAGAATGGACATCTGACCCATCAGAACTGATGCCATCCAGTACACCACGGCCAGGGGTCCTAGTGCACCTCAGCCAAACACCAGGCCCTGTCTGGGAAAACACTAGACAAGGAGAGGCTAGCTCTGATCATCAGCCATGACGAGATCTGTGAGCAGGCAGCAACTACTGCCAACAGCCAAGAGTGAGGTGAGGTGAATCGTTTAGTGGACGAGTGCACGTGGATGGGAAAGAAAATGACCTTGAGCAGTTGCAGTCCAGGCACTCTGTAAGAAGTACACGTTTGCTCAACACGATGCATTTTTTTTTAAAAAAGCCCATTCTTCTCCCTAGTACTGGTGTACTTCACTGAAGTATAAGCATGATTGGAAGATAAAATAGGAGAGAAAGATCTGGTTTTAACTCACTTGCTCCAAGTCCTTATTGCCAACTGTTCCAAACATCACATTTAAATTGTAAATAGATACCATCTTAGAAACCAATTCACCACTCAGAGCCTCTTTCCCCCTGTAAGGCAGGGTTGCTAGGTTTTAAACATGTTTTAGGTTTTACAAATTGGAAATGTTGTAGATTGCAAATTATAAATACTTCTTCGAGAGGGGATTCTAGAAAGGCTCCCATTGCTTTTAGCAGGGCATACAAAGCAACACATCATCTGGTCTTTTGCCTCTGTCTGTAGCCGGCCTGGGCTCCAGCCATTTTTGTATTGCTTACAGGTTCCCCAAAATGTCCTAGGATTTCATACCTCTGTGCCTTTGCACATCCCGCTCCTGCTCTGTGGAATGCCCTCCTTGCGCACACACCATCCTTCCTGCTGTTGCCCTGCTCCTCCCAGGCCCTTCCTTTCTCTCACTGCTCTGTCTTCTTCCAGGCTAAGATCTGGTATCTCCTAGACCCCGTCCCCTTCCGAGACATCTGCATTGGTTGCCCCTCCTGTGTGCACCCTAGCACCCCATCATGCAGCACCCCATGGACATGCATTTCACAATTATATTTTATTTATCCTTTATCTCCAGCCCCTGGTGATACGTATATGGTTTAGTAAATGAAGCCTATTAAATATTTTTTGAAGGAACAAACTCTGACCGAGGATATGCCAAAAATAAGCATTCAGCCTCTCTGCTCCCAAAAGTACATACTATTCTAACAACAATTAAACACCCTCTGCTTGATCTGGAAGCCCCCTGCTTTTCCTGTGTATCTAGCGTGGAGGGTGCATCCCAGTGAAGAGCACAGTCTGGCTATGACGTTATTCACCATTGCGGAATGTTTGGGGCCAATGGAAATAAAAGCTGCTTTCTAATTTGTAAAAGCAGAGGACCCAGTGGTGTTTGCCCCCTGCCAGTTTAGGTAAAAACCAAAGATCTAGAGCCCAGATGCCAAGCCTCTGCCGGCTGTTGGTTCTCCAGAGAGCCCTTTCCAGCCCTCCACTGCCCACAGTGCTGCTGAGGCTGCCCCCTCCTGCCTGGAAGGACAGCCGGCCCCGTCTACCTTAATCCCCTTCAGGGCTTCCATAGTGGCGTTGAGAGCAGACCAGGAACGCAGGGCCAGCTGTTTCCGTGCAAGGGCTGGTCCCCAGGTAGGATGCTGGAAACTGAGTGTTAGAGACGTTGACAGTAAGAAATGTGAGGTCAGGTCGGGATGTGTCATCTCAAAGATTTTCCTCATGAAGCACCTTCTAGTGGTGTTTTTATTTGAAAACACTGGTCAAACCAGTGAATCCTCATGACGGGTCAAGACTTGGGGCAGCTGTGTGGATCCTAGATAAGGTCCGGAGCCTCATCTCTCTCAGCTGTCTCAAGCAGAGATGAGTTAGAGACAGTTGGGAGGATACAGTGGAAACGGCCGGGGGAGGGACAGGAACATGAAAGCCACCAGCTGGGTGAGTCAGGTGGCTATCTCCTGCCAGGGCGTGGGGACAAGCTCATCTTCCGGAGAGGCACTGTGGGGTGAGACACCGTCGCCTGTGGCCGGCCGGCTGACCGCCCCTGGGCTTGCTTACCATCTCTCCAGAGCCAAGGCTGGTCCTTAAGCGTTGAGATTAGTCACTCTCTTGGGTGGCATCTGGGCTGGTTTTAAATTCTCTTTAGTCTCCTGCAATTTATCACCCAGCTAGGAAGCTGCCCGGTGTCCTGACGGGACCTGTGTGTCCCATGTTTTCTCAGCTTTGGCTGTCACTGACTTCGCGACGATGGCAAGGAGGAAACGGCTCCAACTGGGGAGAGCAGCGGCCCCGACACGACATGTGTCTGTATTACACGTTGGCAGTCGAGGTTCCTCCTGACACTTTCAAGCACTTGGGATCCCGATTCACTCCCCTGGGAAATCCAGCATCCAGCCTCGCTGTGTGGGTGTGCCTTTGACTTCCCAAACTGCTCTGCAAGCATGAAGCTCTCAGCTCTGTCCAAGGGTTTCCCAGTGCCTTTTTTTTTTATTATTGAAGGAATGCGGAGGGACTCAGCTTTGCTTCCTGGACCTTTTTTAAGGTTCAGGGAAACAATTCCTCCTCCTCCTCCTCCAGCTTCTTAGTTGATGGCCAAAGGATGAAAGAACCCCTAGGTCAGTGGTTCCCAAATAGTGAGCCACAGAGGAGTGGTGATCTGAAAGGAGCCAGAAAAAAAAAAAAAAGTGCAATGTAGCCATGATTATTAATAGTTTCAAGTTGCCAGCTGCCATTGCCTGAAAAGAACTCTTCTATATTCTGAGATAATGTTCCTTTTTCCTTTGGGATACTAAGATGTCCTTTCTTTTATGAAAGGGAGTGATGGTAGCTATGAAATTCTCCCTTGGCTGAAGAGGGTGGTAACCTCATGAGTCCCCACCCCCAGTGTTTTGGAAATACTATGGGTCCTTGAAATCTGATTGTCTGGGGTCTGGATCCACAAGGTATTCTGAAAAGCTCATTTCAGGAAGTAGCCTCACTCCTCACATATTTTCTTCCCCATGGAGGCTGATGCCAGCAGAGAATAACAACAAAGTCATATTTTGTCTGTGTCTGCTGGGGTCCAAATGATTTTCTAAACACTTTAGCTGTATTCACACCTGTAATCCTCCCAACAGTCTGAGGAGGTCTATGTTATTATTATCTCCCTTTTACAGATTAGTGAACTGAGGCCCAGAGCAGTTAAATAACACAGCTAGTAAGGTGCAGAGCTGGGATTCAAACCCAGGCTCCCAGGAACAAGGATAATTCTCCAAAAAACGATGTCTTAAATGACATCCAGTGGGGAAGAGATGCGTGCTTGTATTTTCAAGGAATAAGCCTTGGAAACACAAAGGTCTGTGGGAGAGAGAACCCTGGGATGTAGCGATGCTGAAGGAAACTTAGGGGATAGCATGTTGGAGCCCAGGCCATAATGGGACATGGCAGCCAAAAGATCAGTACAATTTAGGGTTGCCAGTTCCAAAACACCTTAATGCGGAATGACGGCCAGGGGCACACCGCTCTGCCTCTGCCTCCCCACATTTCCTCTCCTCTCACACCAGCTTCCCCGCACGGAGTCTCATCAGAATGGCTCCGGAGCATGGCATTTGTTTGACCATCTCATTACCAGAGAGAGAGAGAGAGAGAGAGACACACTGAGAGAGAAGAGAAAAACAACACAAATGATCAAGGCCTGGAGGAATTTTCTTCTAGGGGAAGACAGAAGAGTTGGTGCTGTCAGCTTCCCCAGGTCAGTGGAGCCTGACAAGGAAGGGAAGGAGGGAGGGAGTGAGTGACGGAGGGAGGGAGCCCTTCGGGGAGGGGCCAGGCTTAATGCAAGGAGATAGCACATCCCAAGGAGCCCCCTTTCCTACTGTAACCACATTCTGCTGAGAGCTCACATGTATCACCTCACTCAACCTTCCCAAGCACCCTGTTAGTCCATTTGCAGATGAGGAAATGGAGACTCAGAGAGGTCTCGGGACTTGCTAAGGTCACACAGCTAGTAAACATGGAGCTGGGATTCCACCCAGGTTTGCCTGACTCCATGGTCCATCTGGTCTTAGCCACTTTTTTATACTGAGGTTACCTGGCTGCTCACCCCCATTCCTCATGCCTCCTGCCCTGGGCCTCCTACACTTTATCCCGTTTTCTGTACCATGCAGAGAGTTTGCACAAAGATGCTGGAAACTTTTGAGACGATAGAATAGACTCATCATGTCAGATAGCTTCGCGAACACAATGGCATCTGTCACCATCGGGCACAACACTTCAGCGGAGGCTCTGGAAGAGGCAGACATACCTGGACTCTACCTGGGGAGGTGTGAGCACTTGTTATTGAGCTTCCCCAGTTCTAATTTTGAAAATCGGCTGCACGCGGAGGAGTGATACCCAGGGTTAATTCACGCCTTCTTGGTAACTGCCAGAGTAGCTTAATAATGAAGGCGGGAGGCATAAGATGTCTGGAGAAAGTGAATTAGTAAATTGATAGGGCAGGTGACTTTAGTTTGCTATTTTCCTACAAGCAGTAAAGGCCCTCCTACTGCATCTCTTGAGGTTCCCACAATTTGGGATTTGACTTTAGGTGGACTCAGGATGATGCCCAAATTGTATGCTAATCAAAACATTTAGTTCCCAGGAGAAGCAAAGAGAAGGGCAAGAGAGAAACTCCCCGTGGTGTTCTGTCTTGGCCCGGGCAGGGAGCCTCTTAGGCCGGCTGGACACAAAGGCAGCAACGTGCTGACAGACGGCATCCCAAAGAAAGACCTGTGATGGCCCAGCCTTGGTAGTAAAGCCAGTTAAGGCTCCACAGGCCCTTCCCCAACCTGCCAGAACTGCCCACCATACCATAGCTCTAACCTCCAGCAGAATGCCAGAATGGCTCACTTAGGTATTCATCATACATCTCTCCCTGCTGCCAACCTGGGGCCTTACGTTTATCTGTAAGGACTGACAAGTTCTTGCCAGAGCTGGATTCATGGCATATAATTCAGGACATTGGGCCAGACCTTTGGAGCAACTGAGAGCTACTCTTGGAAGATTAAGGCTCCAGTCTTCAGTGGAACACTTATTACCTGTGTGAGTTCAGGCAAATGACCTCACCTTTCTGAGTCTCAGTTTCCTAATCTGTATAATGGGGTTAATGATACCCAACTTACAGTGTTCTGAGGATTAAATAAAACACAAATGGTGGGAATGTAAAATGGTACAGCTACTATGGAAAACAGTATGACGGTTCCTCAAAAAATTTAACGTAGAATTACCATATGGTCCAGCAATTCCACTTCTGGGTGTATATTCAAAAGAATTGAAAGCAGGGGCCAGGTGTGGTGGCTCACACCTGTAATCTCAACACTTTGGGAGGCCGAGGTGGGTGGATTACCTGAGGTCAGGAGTTTGAGACCAGCCTGGCCAACATGGTGAAACCCTGTCTTTACTAAAAATACAAAAAAAAAAAAAAAAAAATTAGCTGGGTGTAGTGCTGCATGCCTGTAGTCCCAGCTACTCGGAGGCTGAGACAGGAGAATAGGTTGAACCCGGGAGGCGGAGGTTGCAGTGAGCCTAGATCATGCCACTGCACTCCAGCCTGGGTGACAGAGCAAGACTCCATCTCAAAAAAAAAAAAAAAAATTGGAAACAGGGACTCAAACAGATATTTGTACACCCATGTTCATAGTAACCTTATTCACGGTAGCTAAAAGGTGGAAGCAACCCAGGTATCCGTCAATGAGTGAATGGATAAACAAAATATGGTAGATGCTGGGCGTGGTGGCTCACCCCTGTAATCCCAGCTCTTAGGGAGGCACAGGCAGGAGGATAGCTTGAGCCCAGGAGTTTGGACATGCCTGGGCAATATAGCAAGACCCTGTTCTTAAAAATTTTTTTTAAAAAGGTATATCCATACAATGGAATATTATTCAATCTTAAAAAGGAAGGAAATTCTGACACAAGCTATAAGATGGGTGAACTTTGAGAACATTATGCTGAGTGGAATAAGCCAGTGGCCAAAGCACAAATACTGTATGGTTCTACGTACATGAGGCATCTGGAATGGTCAAATTGATGGAGACAGAAAGTAGAATGGCGGTTGCCAGGGTCTGGGGAAGGAGAAGGGGAATTTGTTTAATGGGTATAAAGTTTCAGTTTTGCAAGATGAAAAGAGTTCAGCAGACGGATGGTAATGATAGCTGCAGAATAATATGAATGTCTTAATGCTACTGAACCGAACACTTAAAAATAGCTAAGATGGTAAATTGCATGTTATGTGTATTTTCCCACAATTGAAACACACACGCGCGCAAGCAGCCAGAAGAGTGCCTGGCAGGTGCTCGGGACACACTGACTTATTTTAAGAGCACAGTTGTGATTTTCAACAAAGCAACATCAATGTGGGTATTACTTAATTTTAAAAATAATACAGGACCAAAAAGCAGATACAGGGGAAATGGAGGGAGAAAAGGGGGGAGGTGTGGCTATAGACACAGAATTAGAAAAATACAAATCATCACTTTGTTGTATGTTTGGATACACAAGCTGGAGGTGGCCCAAATACCCAACATCTGGGATTTAGGATTGTGGAAAGTGCAAGCATACTTTTGTGTGGCCACTCTGAATTCTTGTTGGCTGCCCTGCCCATCTAAGTTTAGTGGAGGGGCCCATAAGGTTTTGCCAAAGCCTAAGTTGCAAGGAGGGCCCAGAGTGATGGGGGAGAGAGGCCAAGACAGTCCAGACCCCCTCCCTCCCAGACGCAGCTTCCAGAAGTCCCTTTCTTTATCACCTGCCTACGGGTGGCCTCTAAACTGTTTCTGGCTCAAGGGTGAACCTGAAAAGAAAAGAGTCCGAGATACTGATCCCAAGATTTGGCTCCTGCTGAGCTGGGAAGAGGTAGGGCACAGCTGTCTCTTCCCTTTTAGGCTCTCTATAATACCACAGGAAGGAGCAAGTGAGGTGGATTCCAGGAGGCTTGAGATGCCAAAGCCAGTTCTCAGACTTGAGAGAGCATCACAATCACCTCGAGGATTTGTTAAAAACAGAACGCTGGACACCTCCTGGAGTTTCTGTTTCCACAGGCCTGGGGCAGGGCCTGAGAATTTGCATCTCTAACAGGTTCCAGGTGATGCTGACACTGCTGGCCCATTTCAGGACCACACTTTGAGAACCAGTGAGCTAGAGCCTTGTCACTCGGTGTGGTCCTCAGACCAGCAACATGGACATCATCTGGATGTTTGGTAGAAATGTAGTGTCTCAGGCCCTCCTCCAAACCCTAGACCTGCCGAATCTGAATCCGCTCAGTAACAAGCCCCCAGGTGAAGTGTATGCACACTTTGCTGGGGGAATGATTGGTTTCCCTGCCTTCTACAGAGCGCCTGCCCTAAGCAGTGACCTTGGCCCATCACACCAGGGGTAGCCTGTCAGTGTAGCTCCACTGCCCATCACAGAGTCAGCCTAGAGGGACCTCCAAATGGATATCAGAAAAATGAATAATGATTCTTGGCCAGGCACAGTGGCTCATGCCTGTAATCCCAGCACTTTGGGAGGCAGAGGTGAGTAGATCACTTGAGCCCAGGAGTTCGAGACCAGTCTGGGCAACATGGCGAAACCCATCTCTACAAAAATACAAAAATTAGCTGGGCGTGGTGGTGTGCGCCTGTAATCTCAGCTACTCAGGAGGCTGAAGCAGGAGGATCACTTGAACCTGGGAGGCGGAGGTTGCAGTGAGTCAAGATGTCACCATTACACTCCAGCCTGGGCATCAAGAATGAAACCCTGTCTCAAAAAAAAAAAAAAGAAAAGAAAAAAAAAAACACTACAAAGAAAAATGAATAATGATTCTTATTACAGCCACTGGTTGGATTCCTGAGTGTATGCCAGGAGCTTTTTATACATTGTTTCACACATTTATTATAAAACCCCTGCAACACCCATTTTACGGACAAGTAAACTGAGACTCAGATAGAGTGACTGCTTAGGAAACAGAAAAAGAACTTAAACTGTGTGGCGATCTAGCTGGCTGTTTTCCAAGGTGCCAGGGGTTTAGCCTTTAGCCATTAGCATATTTCTCTTCCTTTGTCCTCCCAAATGAGGCCTGAGGCATAAGATGAGGAGAGCAGAGATCTTAACCGAGGGTTGAAGTGATTTATTACATAAGTCCAAGGAGGATACAGTGTGTCCAGAAACAGGCTTGACCCGGTGCTGGAGCACTTGAAGGAAATTTCTAGAGAAACTGGACAGCAAAGCGCTCATCAGCTGTGTCATTAAGCCCTCCAATGAGCTTGGCTGGGATGCGATCTTTCACACAGCACAGGGCCCCACTTCACAGTTGGCGTATGCAGTCACAGTTCCCTAGAGTTCTGGGGGTTCCTGAGTGGATCTGGTGGCCTGCCCAGCCTGCGGTCCAGTTCCAAACTGCACTCTCAGTTATAAAAAGCAGGGGAATGGAGAGGGAAGGCCTCTAGGGGTGATGGAAGGCAAGTCTAGGGGAGCCTTTTAAAACCAATCTGCTCTTCCAGATAAAGAAAGTCTCCAAGCAGGCTGGAAGCCAAGAATTTAATTGTATTTATTTTTGCTATTACCTTCTATTTAGGGCAAGGGATATTGGTATTCTATCTATGGTAGTGGTATAAAGATTCCTTTTGTGATAAATTCATTTAAGTTTTTAAGTGAGTCAATTTAAAGGAAAGTATTAAGTCAATAAAGTCTAGTTAGCAAAACGCATGAAGGTAGACCCGGAAAATGTTTGAAGTTTATGCAATGACATCCCAGCCTTTCTTCTCCCCGATAGTCATTATCTGCCCTGGATGGCAGCAAACTCATGACTACTCCTTGCAAAACTTCTCTCCAGAGTGACTGAGTTAATCCTTCAGAAAGTACCTACTTACAGAAACCATTTATAACTGTGTCTGGAAACGGCCCAGCACACAACAAAAGAATCCTTGAATAAAACAACCTTATGAATGATTCAAACAGTGTCCAACAACCCTCCTCCAAGAGAGGGTGGTCCCACCGAGAGGGGAGGATGCCTTAGGCCCAAGAAGACCTTTCACCCCTGCAACACCACTAGATTAGACCCTCATCTCACCATCCTCTGAAGCTCCCTACCTCTCTCTGGCACATCTCCCCACACCATGTTTGTTGCATGGTTTCTTGCCTGCTTGTTAGCTTGTAGCTCCTTGAAGGCTAGGACCGTTTCAGATGTGTGCCCCGTTGTACTTCCAGCTCCTGCTACAGTGCCTGGTGGAAAGTAGGTGCTCTTTTGGAGAAAGAAGGGAAGGAAGGAGGGAAGGGATGAAGGGGAGGGAGTAAGTTCCTTGAGGGAGGCTGAGATAGGCCCCAGTTACTGATATTCTAGGATCACTTACATATTTCTCTCTATGGCCAAAGGAGAAAAAAATGTGGTAGGGGCTATATTAGCTCCCTGTGCAATTGTCTGATTTGAAATCCACTGAGTTCCATTTTTTTTATTTATTTATTTATTTATTTATTTATTTATTTATTTATTTATTGAGATGGAGTCTCACTCTGTCGCCCAGGCTGGAGTACAATGGCGTGATCTCAGCTCACTGCAACCTCCACCTCCTGGGTTCAAGCAATTCTCCTGCCTCAGCCTCCTGAATAGCTGGGATTACAGGTGTGCGCCACCATGCCCGGCTAATTTTTGTATTTTGGGTAGAGGCGGGGTTTCACCATGTTGGTCAGGCTGGTCTTGAGTTCCTGACCTCATGATCCGCCCGCCTTGGCCTCCCAAAATGCTGGGATTACAGGCATGAGCTACCATGCCCAGCTGAGTACCGTCTTATTTAGAGAAGACACCCACTTTCATTTTTGCCCCTCATTTCATGGGGAAAGACCAGCCCACAGTTTAAGTAAGTATTCCTAACAGGCGAATCCGCAGTTCTATATGGGCTCTGAGGTCTCGTGCACAGAAGCCAAAGGACTGGAGGGATGTGACCAGATTTGGGAATCAGGCAAGCTGGCTCCAGGCAGGCTGAGATCAAGCTGATAACAAGGAGATTAATGAGGGCCTGCAACCTCCTCAGTCTTGTATTAGGGAGGAGGGTTTTCAAATCAATGCTGGTCTGGCTGGCTTAATGGTACCTAATCTTACCTTTTGAAGCTCACGCATTTGGGAGTTGAGATCAATTGAGATAAAATAAAGTAAAATGTGTTGACTTTGGGATTTGTGGTCTTCATCAGAGTCCCATTGTGTAGTGTTGTTTTTATTTTCTGTCTTGGAAATAGGCAGAGATTAGCTGCCGGAGAGGGTTGTTCTGTCTGGACTAGGTGGTCTATTTACTTTTGTTCTGCTTTTTTCATTTTCCGCTCGATGATTCTTCATGAGGGAAGGGCCCATTTCTTTCCTGTTCATTTCTGTATAGCGAGTGCATGACACCTGGTACATGCTCAGTAACTATTTCTCAAATGCAGCATTGCAGCATCACCAGCACAGACTGTGTGCCACGAGCCACCCTGCTGGAAAAGCCAATCTGCTCCTGATTAGGTGCAAAAACAGCAGCCTTATAAGGCACTCACAGTGCCCCTGGAAAAAGGCGTCAGGACGGTTTCCTGGTACCTGGTTTCTGTGATGGTTACCATGAGCTTTGTGCAGTCATTGCAAAGCTGTGTGTGAGCAAAGTGCATCCGATCCATTTTACAGGTGCTTACAAGCCCTGTGCTGAGTGCTGGCGACTGAAAAGATGAGTACAGCATAGGGAAGGTGCTCATGGAGTTTGTGATCTGGTGGGGGAGCGAGTTGTGTAATGACGAGGAATGTGTCTGGAGGTGAGAGTTTCGGGGTCTGGGCTTTGGTTGTGGATTTGCCACCACCAGGCCATTGCCCTAAGGGCAGGCCCTAACGTCTTTGGGCCTCAGTTTTCGCATTTATAAAAAGTGGACTCAATGGACCTACAGGTCTTCACTTGCTCTAGAGCAACAAAACTGGAGAGCTGTCTCAAGGAGTTTTCCTGTGCAGTGGAGTTCAGCCTCACTGGAAATAGCAAATCCATTTGCTGCTACACCCCTAAATTCCTTGCCCTGAAATTTTAGAGCAGGGCAATAAATAGGTGTTGGTCTATTTTCACCTACCACCTGCTCTACATTAAAAAGAAAAGAAAGCTGCTATATGGCAAGAGGAAGACAAGCTAATATACTGGGTATCTGCTCTTTGCCAGGCACTGCATTTGACATTTTCACATCTCAATGGAACGTCCTGATAAACTTGCAGGACGGGGAGCAACAGCATCGTCACTGCTGCACCCTTCAGTCCACTTAGAGGACCGTTGTGTCACAGCAGGATTGGTGTTCCCGTCAAATGACATCCTGTATACCGAGTTTTAGAAAAGCACATGAGTGCACGTAACGGGATGTAGAAAAGCTATTTTCAAGCATAGTTAAATGTGGTGATTTTGGAAGCCTTCTTCACTTAACTATGAGGAAAATTCATTATCACCAACAAACATCTTATGAGAGTAGTATATCAGCCTAATTGCCATCCCTGACCTCCCATGGTGAGCTGACGTGTAATAAAAACAAAAATAACAATAGCGTGCTCATAGTACTGCTGATTCCTACCGTAGGAGCTCCAAAGAGGGGGTTCCCTACCAAGGACTAGGGATGAGAGAAGGCAGGATTTGGGGACTTGAAGGAAGAGCCCAAGGACTTGAGCTGGAAAAAGAATGACATTGGTGACCTAGATGGAGAGAATGGCCAGGACCAAGAAAGTTTCCCATGTGCAAGGAGGAGCTGTTCTCACATTTGTGACGCGGCTGCCACAGACTCTGGCAGTGCCTAGAGGTGGAGGAAAGTAGGGGAGGACAGAGGGCTTGGAGCCAGGCTGTCAAGGGCTGAAGAACTCAGACTTGATTCTTTGAGGGTTTCTTTGGTTTAACATGGGGTCCGGAGACCTCTAAAGAATCTGTGATGGGGTTCAGATCCACGAACCCCTTGAAATTGTAGGCATTTTTCTGAGCAGATGGTTCAAACATTTCAAAGGATTCCCAAAGGGACCCACAAAAGCTTAAGAGGAGCCGCTGTGGACAGTTGGGACCCTTGAAGTGCTTTGACCAAAGGTATGTGCAGACGATGCATCAGTTGCTTGGAGGGGGCAGGTGCCGGGAAGACCACCCATGGGAGTAGCATTGAGGGTCGGGCGGGGGTGTTGAAAAGGAAGAGGGAGTTAGGAAGCCATGGTTATGAAGAAGAAATGACAGCTCTGCAGCACTCTCGGGACAGTCAGTAACAGCTGCATGAACAACTGAGCCCACTGTGGGTGCAGGACATCAGAGGGGAAGCTGTGTGTTATGGTCCTATAGTGAGTTTGGTTTTAAACATGATCATTTTAAGAGGCTGAGTTTATCTATGTGGAAATGAAGACAATTTAAAAATTATTAAGCCACCACTTACTGGAGCAACTAGGGGATAAGAGGGCAGCAGAACCACCCCTCTTTCATTTTATAGGTACAGCCACTGAGGCCCTGAGATAGGAAGTGACTTGTCCACAGTCACCTCAATGGTGGGCAGCTGGGGACCAATTCGTAAGAGAATAACAGGAGAGAAGTTAGGCTGGAGGTTAGGCTAGATCTGAAGCCCTCTGGGGGAGATGGCAGTTGAAGCTCTTAGTGTAGATAAAATCTCTAAAGTAGAAAAGACCCCAGAATTAAGCTTGGGTCTTTGCTCTGATTTAGAGAATTGGAAACAGAAACCAAGGTAGCAAAGGCCATGCAGAAGGGCAGTGAGGGAAGTACGAGGCAACCAAGAGGAAGAAGCAAGGCAAGACAGGCAGGTGCTCCCGGTGGGAGGGTCCTTACAGACGAGGGCCTCAGGCCAGGTTGTCGGCAGATCCCCAGTGGCATTTGAGAGATACCTCCTTCCTTGGAATTGTGGGGTGAAGCGAGATTCCAAAGAGAGGTCTCTGATAAAGGGGCCAGAGAGGGCATACTGGCCTTGCCGGAGGTGTGAAAAGGAAGGAGAAGTGGGTGAGGGGTGGAGGCAGGCAGGAGAATAATATTTTAAAAATAAAAGAGTGCATCTGTAAAAATAACTAAAGAAATGAGAGGAGGGAAGGAAGGGGGGAGAGGTTCAATGATAGGGTCACAGTCAGGTGAAAATGAGACCAAATGGCAGAGGTGGGGAGGGGAAGAGGAGGGATGAAGGTTCAGAGGAGAGATGAAGGGGTGAGCAGGGCCTGGAAACATGGTAAATTTTAAAGGAGGGAAGATTGGGATCCTCTAACCCATTAGGCTCTTCTTGCCTTTCAAGTTGTGGCCCATGCAGACCTCTCTGCCTGATATTCTTCCCACAGCCCTTTGCAAGGCTGGTTCCCCATCTTCCTTCAGAGTTCTGACAGATGCCATCTCTTGAAACAGCCCTTCCTGTCCACTCCCCAGTATCCATGCAGTCTGGTATGCACCACCATTTGCCTCTGTGTTTTTGTTTTTGTTTTGTTTGTTTGTTTGTTTTGAGACAGGGTCTTGCTCTGTCACCCAGGCTGGAGTGCAGTGGTGCGATCTTGGCTCACTGCAACCACTGCCTCCCAGGTTCAAGCAAGTCTCATGCCTCAGCCTCCCAAGCAGCTGGGATTACAGGCGCATGCCACCACACCCAGCTAATTTTTTGTATTTTTAGTAGGAATGGGCTTTCACCATGTTTGCCAGCTGGTATCAAACTCTTGGCCTCAAGTGATTCGCCCACCTCGGCCTCCCAAAGTGCTGGGATTACAGGCGTGAGCCACTGCACCCAGCCCTTGCCTCTGTTTTCTTCTCAGCATTGCCCAGTAATGGGTAGGTGTTTATAGCTCTGTTCCTTTGCTGGCTGGTGGGGGGTGTAGGGTGGGGAGGGGGGTGAGTGTGCGTTTGTTTCATGTCCCCAAATTTCTATTTTAAGCACCTTCAAACTGGAGACAATTTGTCTCCATTCCCACTGCAACCCTAGAGCCCTGCTCAGTGCCCGTTGCAGAGTAGGTGCTCCATGATGCTCGAAAAAGAAAGGCATGTTAATTGAAACAAAGAGAAGGGAAGGTAGAACTCAGCCATAACCTATCCTCCTCTCAGAAAACTTTTAATCAGAACAGTAATTACATTAAAATGAAAATAGCATCTGCCAGCTGTTGATATGTTTTCATTACCTTTTTTACTCTTCACAGTTCACCCTTCTGAAGGAGTGAGGAAACTCAGTCTGAATATTCTGCGAGTTAAGGTGGAGCTAGGGACCATACCGAAGACTGTGTTCTCATTTGCCACCTCATTTTATTTTTATAGTGTTGTATCAAAGAGGTATGTTTGTCAAGAAAACAGGGAAGCCATGTCCCATTTCCCTCCTCCTCCCGGCCAGTGGGTGGGTAGTTTCCGCGCATCCTCACTGCACACTTACTGAAGTACTGCCCTATTCCAGATGTGTCCCGGGAAGCCCTTTGTGTGCCAGGGTGCTTGACACGTGCATGTGATCTGCCTAGGACAAAAGGGTTAAATCTCCTGTCCACTTGTCAGGCCCCTGCGGTCATGTGGAGAAGTCAGCAGGGAAGAATTCTCTCTGCCTTTGGATTCTTCTAATCCCTAGAGAGCGGCAGACAATCCCTTTTCACTCCGGCCCTCTTTCTTGCAGTTTTCTATAAGAAATTGATGGCAGGAGTGTGGGGAGAGGGTGAGGCTCTGAGGCAGCCCCCGGTGTGATGCCCTCAATGACACCTTCAGCCATTGCCCTCAGGGCACCGTCTATAGGCACCAGCCCAGACCCTGGGGGCTAATAGGCTGTGACTTTCATGTCCCCTCCAGGCCCAGCCCAAAGTGGGAGTCTGTGCTGATACTCAGGGCAATGGGAAAAGCAAAGAGGAAAGGACCCATTGATTCTTCTTTGTACCTCTCTTCTGTGGGTGTTCAGAACACAAGCCAGCCTCCCCGCCTTCTGCACAGCCTGAACGTCCTGATGGAATCTGCTGGAAATATTCAAAGCACAGGCCCAGAACTGCCAAGAAGGAAGGCATAGGAATAAAATCACAGGGGACAACCCCAGGTCCCTGCACACACTCCCCTTGCCCTGACCTGGCTTCGTACCTCTGCCTCTCGGATCTGACTGGGTGAAGCTCTGGCGTCTGTCTGGAGTCAGGTGTAGTGACCCAGGTACATTGGCTGCTTGGCCCTGTCCTCTGGCTTCCCTTGTCAGTTTGTTCCTGTGAGACTACATTCCAGTTTTGACTCATCTCAGGTTCTGACAAGCCCCTACCCCAACCTCACCTTTGCACCTACTCCCCAATTTGGAGACAATCTGTCAGACAGAGGTGTATTCAAATCCCGCCTAGAGCTCCCTCCTCACTGTCAATCTTGGCATGCGATGCTTAACATCTCTAAGTCAGTTGGAGGAAGAAAAATGCCGAACTCATAGGGTTGGGACAGGGATGAAAAGAGTAAATCCACAGCAGGGACTGCCATGTGGCAAGGGCCCAGGCAGCATTAACTCTGGTAATGATTACTCTTCTCAACATCCATCCATCCGAGCAAGGTTCTTCTCATGCTTGCATCCAGTCACCTGATTCTAGCATCAAGCTGGTCACATCCCTGGGGCCACCATCCTCTCTATGACCCGTCACCACCCCACCCGTACCCACCACAAGCTATCGTGGCATTAGTTGGACGCAGCCATTTCCCAT
The DNA here is from genome assembly GCF_000001405.40 of Homo sapiens. NCBI lineage: Eukaryota > Metazoa > Chordata > Mammalia > Primates > Hominidae > Homo > Homo sapiens. Next base: position 92,414,858 of record NC_000015.10, read on the forward strand.
GCCCTAAGTCAACATGGCTGGAGTTAATTTCTTCCACCCTGAACACATATTTGGGCTTTCCCCTAGCCAATCAGGAAGTGGCTCACAGGGAGGACCCAAGAGGCAGAACCTCTCCTCCGCCCCCTTTCCTCCCCAGAGCCCTGGGCTCCTAAAAGAGCATGGCTGGGAAAAGTGGGGACGGAGGTCATGGCTGATGCCTGAAGACACCTGGGGCTGTTACCCTTCCAGAGGCCAGGGCTGGCTTCCTCTTCCTATTCTATCTGTTGGTCCTCAGCAAGCCCAGGAAGCAGCCTCATCAAGTGTCTTAGGAAGCATAGAACTCCTGAATTTCCTTCTCCTAAGCTTTTGTTTCTGAACATTACAGGGAGAAAATGACCATGCCCCTGGGTGTTCCTCCTACTGCTTCTGCTTGATTTTATCAATAAGGATCTGGTCAGCTGAGACTGAGAAGAGGCAAGAAACTAGCACCTCTGCCATTTCCTTAGGGCCTGCAGTCCTAATGTACCTGGCACGGGAGGGGTTTCTGAGTCAGGGAAGTTTGTGGAGAAAGTGACATGAGCTGAATTTTGCTAATTGATAGGACGAGTCTAGGGATCTTAAACCCAAATGCCTTTAGGGTCCAGGCAAGTCACAGATATAAGTGATGACGCTCAGTGTAAGACAGTAGGGAGTAGTGTGGGCTGTAGAAAAATGTAGCATATACACCCCCCACCCCGCCCCCACAACAAGAGGACACAGATACTTCCCAACTCCAGCAATGACTATGGTTCACTGTTACCAGATCTTCTGACTGTTTAGAAGGAGCCAGAAATGAGGATATTTTATAACGACTAGTCTCTTGAGTTTTAAACAGTAGCCTCTGATTTTAAAAAGGTCGAACATGCAAGCCCCTGAACACATGTTTAGGCTAGATATGACCCAGGGCTGGCAGTGTATAAACTCTGAAGTCAGCAAATGAAAAATAGAACAAGGGATTCCAGAGAGAGGGCACGATATTTAAAGACACAGGCTTGTGAACTGAGTCACGCATTCCAGAAACTGCCCCTTGGTAGGAGGTGGATGTGTGGAAAAGAAGATGAGGCTGAAGGGGCAGTTCAGAAAGGGTCTCTGTGCCATGCTAAGGGATCTGAACCTCATTCTGAAAGCTGCAGGGGTCGGTAAGAGAGACTGAAGAGTTTAAAGGAGAGAGAGGCATGTGGCACACTGCATTTCGGAAAGCTGTGTCTGTGTAGGGAGGGCTGGCAGATCAGCAGTCTCTGCACATCGCAGATAAGACGGAGGCACAGGAGAGATTCATGGCAGAGGGATGAGGGCACTGGCACTCACCCTCAGGTGGACGAGCTCAAATCTGGAGGCTGGGGGACACTTGAAGGGGGGGTGGGGGTGTGGTGAGGGAGAGTGGGGAGTGTGGACATCACCCTGGTTCTGAATGAACTAGGGGTGGCTGCCATTCCCTGAGAGGACACCGGGAGAGACAGGTGGAAGGGGTGGAGGTGGGTGGGAGGTGTGTGGAGGCAGCCAGGTTGTGCTGTGACTGGAGCCGGGAGTGAGGTGTCCAGAGGCAGATCAGACACCGAGGGACAATGGAAGCAGGGTTTGGAAAACCGGCGCGTGCAAAGGGCACACTCACACCAACCCCAGCATCCTGAGGGGCTGGGAAAGAGAAGGTCAAAGAAAACCCGGAGAAAGTGTTGCCAGAGGATGAAGGAGGCGGGAAGTCTATGGCCTAAGGGGTACTTCAGGGTCATGCTCAGGTCACTGACAGAGCAGAGAGAACGTGCCGTTGGACCCGCTCCAGGAGACATGGGGACATACTGCAAGGGTCTCCCTGCCAGGGTCCCGTCGGGATTCAGTCCTGCACAGCCCCGTGGATTGTGGGCAGGCCTTGCCCACCTCCTGGCCATGTGATCTTCGGATGTGCCTCTTGTGCTGAAGAAAAAAAAATGCACATGTCCACTCCCCAGCAGGCCCCGCTCTGAACGGGCCCCCAGCACTCCATCCATGAAAGCTGCAGGGGCAACAGCAGGTGCCTGTTCTACCACGCTAGCACGCTCCACTTTCTCTCCTCCACTGATTCTTATTTCTCCCTAATGGACTGCACTCTTCAAAACCAACTTACCCAAGGACAGCTTTTCCAAGGGGACTTGTCAAACTCCACAGGCAGCAACTGGTTTGTTCCTTTCCAAAGGGCAGTAGCCATCACCTTCAACAATACTGCAACTAACATCCACCTCTGTCCAGTCCTTCTTATTTTAATCCTACAGCAGGAACCCCAATTGACAGAGGAGGACATCAAAACTGAGAGAGGTCTAGGGCTGCAAAACTAGAACCCATCAGGAACCAGAACTCCAGTCCCCTCTGCCGGTGGTCCCATCCATCCTCCTTCCATCTGACACCAAGGCTTCCTGAGTGGTAACCACCATGGCTGCTGGAGCAGAGGAAGTGGCCGTTGCCTTAGAACCAGGCAGGTGGGGAAGGGGACACATCAAATACCCAGAAGAAAAGTGACTTCAAAGTCCTCCCCAAATTGAGTGCCCTCCAGAAATTCTCTCACGAAGAGGCTGCAGCTGACATTCACAGGGATGTTGTGTCTGAATGCGGGTACATCAGGAAGGGAACAAAAGAGAGGGAAGAAAGCCTGGTTGAAGGCAGGGGTCTTTCAAGTCCCCTCGAGGCAGACTCAAGAGCAAAGCATGGCACACTGGATGGGCGTTCTGCTTCTCTTTAAAGAGCATGGATTTATCCATACCATGTGACATGAATGAAATGAGGAGTTTTCAGGGCTGCCAACCTCTTGGTTAAGGTTCTGTGTAGTATATTTCTCCTACAATAGAAAAGGAAAAATGACATCTGAGGTTAACAATGTATCTGCAGTGCAAGGCCCAGTGACTGTCAATAATGGACGCTGAGTAACTAAGCAATGGCGGATTGCATGAATTTTCATATAAAACTGCTCCTATACATCGCTTTGAGTGTCTGGGTCACGCCTTATCCTTATAGTGTAATGTGAGCGGAGAGTCTAGCTTGAATATTTTCCCACTTAGCTAACTTGCCATCTCACAACTATTTGCTGAGTAACCCTTGCTTCCTCTTAATTCTCTGGGGCCTCCTCGACATATATTTAGGCAGGAGGTGAAGGGCAGGACGCAGGGGGCCACTTTCTGCAGGCATAGGAGGTTGGGCTTCATGCAGACCACAATCAAATCCTTGCTCTGCTGCTTTGCTTGCTGGGTGGCCCTGGGCAAATCACTTAACCTTTTTGAGCCTGGGTGTCCTATTTCCAAAACCAAGTCAGAAATAAGAAAGTTACTATGGGCCTGGCATGGTGGCTCACGCCTATAATCCCAGCAGTTTGGGAGGCTGAGCCCAGAAGATCACTTGAGCCCAGGAGATCAACACCAACCTGAGCAACATGGCAAAACCCAAACTCTACTAAAAATAACAAACAAAAAAAAAATATGGGGCATGGTGGCACACGCCTGTAGTCTCAGCTACTTGGGAGGCTGAGGTGGGAGAATCAGCTGAGCCCGGGAAGTCGAGGCTATGGTGAGCCATGATCACGCCACTGCACTCTAGTCTGGGCGACAGGAGTGAGACCCTCCCTCAAAAAAAAAAAAAAAAAAAAAGGCTTCGGTAGAGTGCCTGGCACATGGAGGGGCTCAAGGGAATGAAGTTCTTAATATTTTTAATTGATGTCTTGGAATCTGCATCCATGTCTAAGGAAGAGACAGGCAAGAGAATTTTTGTCCTGTCTGGGACAAGAATGATCATTTGGGATGGTGGAGGCATCACTCTTACAGAGTGAACTTTGATTGAGGGGGAGAGAAGCTGTTTAGTTTGAAAATATATATGTATATATTCAAACGGTATAGAAAAACTGTAGAAAGTAATGCTGAACAAAATCTTGTTGGGTGTAAATACAGAGAAAAATCACAATTTTTAATTGTGGCACCTCTGCCAGGGGAACAGTAGGATCAAGGAGGAATTTTATGCCATTTTAAATGAAGTCGTAAAGTGTTGTGAGGGGATGACGTAAAATAAAGGATTTTCTGGGCCAGAAGGCTCTTAAAGATGCCCTGGGGACTCTAACCCATCCCTTCATTTGGGATCCTTTGTCATGTCTCTTAGCCGCAGCATGTTTCCTCCAGGGGGTGCCCAAGGGGACATTTGCCTCCCCACTCCCAGAGAGAAGGTCTCTCCGGGGCCACGTGTGAGCCAGGCAGAAGGTGGGAACCAGACCCAGGGAGCCCCAGTTCACCTCTCCAGGAAGGAGGGAGTGGCCACCCTCATCCAACACCGATGCGGTTCCAGCCATCTGGGGGCTGAAGAATGTCATTGCAAGGTGGCCATATCAGAGCTCTCTTGGTACAGGGACAGGAACACAAACCAGGCAGGCTCAGAAGAAGCAGGGGGTGGAGTGAGGAAACAGAGACAACTAGTGTAGACGGACCTGAGAAAGTTTGCAAAGAGCTGGCGAGAGAGAAATCGCTGAGGGGAATATGGACTTCTCTGAATCCTGTTTTCTACAGGAGAGGGTCATCTTCGGTGATTTGGGCTCATCTCTCCATTGAGTGGTCCTCTCTAGAACACACTGGGTGTGCGGGAAATACACCCTCCCACAGCAACGCAGAGATGAGCAGGACCCGCATCCTGTGCCTGGCCATGGTCTGGGGAGGGGGTGCTGAAGCCGAACGCATAGAGATAATGGTGGCTGAATATAGGGGGCACCCTTCTGCAGGTATGTCCAGGACGCCGAGGCAGGGTGAGAGGCCCAGGCTCGTTGTATAGTAGGGAGCTCCAAAATTGGGATGGGGGAACCAGCAAAGGCTCTATAGCCATGAGCACCATAGAGAAGTAGTCCTCTCTGCCCACAACTTTTCACTAGGTCCAGTTCAACCAACAGCATACATATATGTATTGCCCTGGGTTTTAATTGCTTTGGTTTCTGGGATTTTGAGTGTTAAGGATTTCAGAATGCAGCATTATCTTAGAAGTCTGTTTTTTGTTGTTGCTTTGTTTGTTTCTTTGAGATAGAGTCTCGCTCTGTCGCCAGGCTGGAGTGCAGTGGCGCGATCTCGGCTCACTGCAACCTCCGCCTCCTGAGTTCAAGCGATTCTCCTGCCTCAGCCTCCGGAGTAGCTAGGATTACAGGCGTGCACCACCACGCCCAGCTAATTTTTTGTATTTTGATTAGAGACGGGGTTTCACCATGTTGGCCAGGATGGTCTCGATCTATTGACTTCGTGATCTGCCTGCCTTGGCCTCCCAAAGTGCTGGGATTACAAGTATGAGCCACTGCACCCAGCCAGAAGTCTGTATTTTAAAGGCTGTCTCCTTTATAAGATGGGTGCAGATCAGAGGACGAGTCCTGCTTCAGTTGGTAGTCCCTGTTTATGAATCCTTTCTGGTTGGCGTTTCTGTTCACTTGGATGATAAGTTATATTGTCCCCCCGCCGGTTATAGGTGACCCACAGTTTCATTATGAGAAAGAGGAAGGATCAGGAACGATTGCAGTGAGAAATGCTTGGCATCCAGGTGACTTGTTTACTTGCATTTTGATGTGCAGATGCCTCTAAGTACCTTTATGTAAAGACTAGGGAAATTGGCTGGAACATAATGAAAGCCCAAAGTTCTCAGGGATGTTTTCTGAAGTTGAGCAAAGGAGAGAGCCAAGGGTGAGCTGGTACCTTTTTGTACACCAATAAAAGCTGATTAACAAGCAAAAGTTTGCTGGAATCGAAGCAAAAAGATAAATCCAATCAAGCTAATGTTTAAATTGAAGGCAGAAGGGATGGCAAGAAAAGAACTGAGCAGTCAATAAGGAGAGCTCAGGAGTCATCATAAAAAGAGAGACACCCAAAATTCTCCCCATTGGCCCCTGCAACACCCTCAGACGCCCAATACCAGAGATGGCAACTGTCATGGAAACAACACTATCAAGGCTGAAACCAGCATAGGTCTCCAGAGCTGCTGTGCCCAGCGGTGTCTCAGTATCTATGAGGTTCAAGAGCTTCAGTACAAGGCTAAGACTTGCTGTATAGGAAAAGTATCTCAAAGGCTGTTGAGCACCTCAATAAAGCTATTCCGCCCGTCTTGGTGAGCAAGAAGCTGTGTGTGTGAAATTGGGGGACAGTAACAAACTGGAAGAAGGCATGAATTTAAATCTAACTGGGAACACATCTAAATTGGGTGCAAAGACCTTACTAGAAGTGCTGCTTGCTGTCTGTGATGTTGAAGCTGCTGCAAGGAGCCACCTATACTGTCACAATGGGTCCTGGCTGGCAATCCAAAAGTATCTAGCCAATGCCAGCTTTCAGCAAGGTCCATGGTAGTTTTCACAGTGGTAATGGGCCGGCAGTGCAGGAGTTCATGGTTCTCCCTGCTAGAACCGTAACCTCAGGAAAGCCGTGCTTTACCAGAAGGATGTCATCAGGCAGAAATATGGCAAAGATTCCTCCTAGTGAGGACAAGGGGTGTTTTGCTTTTCACATCGTAGAGCAGGAATTAGCAAATATTGGCTCACAGGTGAAATCCAGCCAGCTCCTTGTTATTACATGGCTTGTCCTCCAGCCAAAAATAGAAAAATTCAAAAGAAGAATAACATCAGTATCAAATGATTTACAATAAATCAAACACTGTTCTTACTCTTTGCATTCATTAGCTCATGTGATCTTTACAATGAACCCATGAAGTAGATACTATTACTCTATAGATGAGAAAACAGATGGAAGCTTCTAGATAGGTTAAGTAATACTCAAAGATCATACAGATAATGATTTGTTCAGCTATAATTACAGACCCAGCGAGTGTTAGCTCCGAGCTTACTCTCTTAACGTGCTTCCTTGTATGAAAAGTTCCCCAGTGCTTTAAAGGTAGAAGGTAAGTTCCTAAAGAGAGATTCAGGTATCACATTCTGGTGTGTTCACAAGAGGGAAGATAACAGTGTCTCAGAGAACCAAGGAAAGGCTTTGTAGAAGAACGAGGCTACCTTTCCGTCATGATGGCTGGAATAATAACTTTGAATCCTAATTAAGCAAAATCATGTGCCCTCCCCCACAAAATTACATTATTCTCATTACCAGGCCTAGTGAAGTTTTTTATGACAAAAACGTGGTCTCAATTATGACTATAGCTTAAATTTTGTCAATAAATTATTGGTAGAAACTTATTTTCTCTCTTGTTACTTAAGTACCTGCATAGTACCATCTGTTTTTCCTCTTGTCCCATACAGCCTAAAATATTTACATTTGGCCTCTTTGGAAAAAGTTTGCTGACTCATATCCTAGAGAATACAGAACACTGGAGCTGCTATGGAATGTGATTAGAAAGCCTGGCTGTATTATAAGTAGTGAATGGCATGGACAATAGCCTCTAGTTCTTACAGTTCAGGAAATATGACCTTGATGTTCAAGCCTCCAGATGTCCTTAGCAGTTACATCACTTCTGACCAGCTGGTAGGCAGGTACAAGTCCTTCATCAAGGACTACTCGGTGGTGTCTACTGAAGATGCCTTGGACCAGGATGACCGAGAAACTTGGCAGAAGCTCTCTGCTAGTGCAGGTTATATCCATGTGACAGGGAATCATCTCCCTGTGCCCAGCCGGAAAGGAACTACCAAGACTACAGACAAGGACTCGGGCAACTGCCTCCTACTCAAGGTGAATCAGACAGACCCCATGATGGAATCTCTTCAGGAGTGCAAAGTGGCCCAGGCCGAAGGATAGGGCGCTATTTCCCACTGTGTTGGGGTGACTGAAGATTCTTGCATTGCCAAACTCATGGTGAGGATCTGTACTAGGTCAACCAAGGCTGCGGCCCCTTGCCCATCTAAGCACTTGGCCAAGTACAGCCACCTCCTCAGGTGGAAAAGAAGATGGGTAGCACCTTTGGTTGTTCTGCAGACAACAAATTCAAAAAGCTCCTAGCCAAGTAAGTTCTGGGGCAGGCGAGTGCCTGAGCCAGTCAAGCACTTGTCAGCTGGTGGGACCTCTACTGCTATTCTAATCATCTGTGCTCAAGACTCTAGACACTACCACTTTGGAGGGGTCTTTCCTTGCTCATCTCTGTGATGTTCTGCCTCCTTAGAACTGCCGTATCAACTTCTGCATCAAATGCCACATCTTCTGATACGTGCTGTGTGTCAGATGAGACCTTGAAAACATATGCTAAGTGACAGAAGCCAGACACAAAAGAACAAATAGTGTGTGGTTCTACTTACATAAAATAGCTAAAATAGGCAAATTCATAAAGATAGGAAGTAGATAGTAGTTATGGGGAAAAGATGTAAAGAGGGAGAGTTTTTGCCCAAAGAGTGCAGAGTTTCTCTTTAGATGATGCAAAAGTTCTGGAGACAGATGATGCTTGCACATTATGAATGTATTTAACACCACCCAACTGTACACTTAAAAATGGTTAAGATGGGCCAGGCGCAGTGGCTCATGTAATCCCAGGTACTCAGGAGGCTGAGACAGGAGAATCACTTAAACCTGGGAAGTGGAGGGTGCAGTGAGCTGAGATCACGCCCCTATACTCCAGCCTGGGCTATGGAGCAAGACTCCATCTTAAAAACAAATGGTTAAGATGTTGTCTTAGTCCATTTTGTTTTGCTATGACAGAGTATCACAGGCTAGGCAACTTAGACAGAACAAATTTATTTCTCATAGTTCCGGAGGCTGAGAAGTCCAAGAGCAAGGCACCAGCAGGGCAGGGCCCAGTCTCTTTGCTTGCAAGATGGCACGTTGAGCACTGCCTCCTCCAAAGGGGAGGACCACTGTGTCCTCACGTGACAGAATGGCAGAAAAAAGTGAACCCACTCCCAAAAGTCCTCTTTATAGTGGCATTAACCCATTCATATGGGCAGAGCCCTTAGACCTAAACACCTGCCATTAGGCCCCACCTCCTAACACTGTTGCATTGGAGGTTAATTTTCCTATTCGACCATAAATTTTGAAGGGAACGAAACATTCAAGCATAGCAGATGGTAAATTTCATGTTATACGTATTTTACCACGATTTTAAAAATTGGGATTCAGGGGAAGAATTCTTAAAAGCCTTCGACCACTGTTGACAGCCCTGGTTGTAGTCATGTGACTGACCCCAAGTCATCCTGTTCCTCACTTTTCTCCTGTCCATGTGTCCTTGGAGTTTGTTCCTGGGCTGTCAACAGGCATAAACCTCAGTGGCTTTAATGTGCAAATTGAAAAAAAGCATTCATTAGTCTCCCAAAAATGTGAAGGAAGAACCATCTGCAAATTCATGAATTGTGCTTTAGTTTCATCTTCTATTCTCAAGACTAATCACCTGTTTAAGTTGGCTCTAGACTCTTAATTAAAATTGTCAGCTCCTGAAAGTTCATTCTGAGCCTGACTCTCCCATGAGAAACTGTAAACGTGGGAAATTCTAACACAGCTAGGAGATTCCAACATACTGGACCTTACCTTACCTATAAATAACTGGGCTTGGTGTATATATCAAAATATCATGATGTACCCCATAAATATACACAGTTACGAATTTTCAATTAAAAAATTATTAAAAATGAAATAAAATAAACAATTGGGCTTGGATGAAGAGGCTAAGCAAAAATGCAGTTTTCAGGTTTTGCTACTTGCTTTTCACTAGAATAGATCCAGCTGTGTGTGGTGTGATTTTGTTTTACATTTTTTTAACATACCATTTTTATTTACTATCATCGTTTACTGTGTACATTCTACTAGGAGAGAATATAATGTCCATAGTGTGAAAAAAAGTTTGACATTCTTTTTTTTTTTTTTTGAGACAGAGTCTTGCTCTGTCACCCAGGCTGGAGTGCAGTGGCAATCTCAGCTCACTGCAACCTCTGCCTCCTGGGTTCCAGTGATTCTCCTGCCTCAGCCTCTTGAGTAGCTGGGACTACAGGCGCACGCCATCACACCTGGCTAATTTTTGTATTTTTAGTACAGATGGGATTCCACCATGTTGGCCAGGCTGGTCTCAAACTCCTGACCTCAGGTGATCCACCCGCCTCAGCCTCCCAAAGTAAAAATTGACATTCTAAAATGTAGACCTTTAAAGTCGTCAACCTCTACCCTTACAATGGTTGAGAATATTGCAGCAGGGTCAAATGGACAGTTGTTATTACTAGTATTATACCTTATTCTATAGAGTTCTTTATAGTGTGCAAAAAGTATCCCCATATGTTTTCTCATTTGGATGATCTAAGCATCTCTGTTTCTACAATTTCAGCACTCTATAAATTATCTTTAGCAAATGTTTCTTACCCGATCATCTTCTATCAATCAACCAGGCAGGTATCAGCAGTTCCCCATCGCAAGGAATATAAGCTTATTTTAATAACATTTGAGGCAAAACCTAATTAGAAAAAACAAATCCCTCATCAATTCCTGTGATTTATTCTAGAGCCAAACATCTGCAGCCCAGTTTCTTTGAATGATGGTCTTCCCTGTTCTATGAACAACTGAGAGGTGAAGCAGTGTCTTGTACAAGTGTAAATAATGTGCGGGAACACAGCACATAAACTGCAGGGACGACTTCAGAAGAAAACCCCCACTTAACTCTTGAAGCCTGATTTGCTTCACTGAGTCCCAATGGGGCAAAGCACTGTGCAAGGCTAAGAAAGTGAACAAGACAGGCTTCTATTCTGTTTTACTGTAGGTTCTGTTATTATTTAGGTATGTCAAGGCCAACAGATGAAGCAATGACTGCCACGAAGAAGATAGTTTGTTATACTCACATCACGGGGCTCTACACAAGGAGATACTGGGGTTGGTCTGGAGGCAGGAGGAGGGGGAAACTGGTAAGAGCCTTTATTGTGGTTTGCACAGGAAAGAATGGGCACGGTGGGGCCAGAGCGGGTCTAGGATTGGCTAGTTTGAGTAACTTCAGCAGGTTCTGCAGGGTGGGAGCTGTCGCTAGTTGCATGGTACCTAGCCTAGGGTACTTAGGGTAGGGGAATACCTGGCCCTACAACAGGGCAGGGGAATACTGGCCCCCAGTAAATGAGACAGTAGGGGTGTGGATTCAAGATTGCAATTTGACAGGAGCGTTCCCAGGAAGAGTCGTTTGCTGTCTCTAGAAATCAGCTAACCCTGAGAGGGGCAGTTTCTCCAGCGTCAGAAAAGCCCCAGATGTCAAAGCATTGGAATACAGAAAATAAAAGACATGGTTAACACGCCCCCTCGAGGACTTACACTTTATTGTGGCCCGCAGGAGGAAGCCGAACCTGGCACACAAATCCCCAGGCCTTGGTCTCTTTGACTGTATGAGGAGGAGTTCGAATTGTGTAAATGACAAGATTTTGTAAAGCCTCCCATCTGTGATTCCATGAAGTAATTAAATATGAGAAGAAGGTGGCAAATGCTATAATAGAATTGAGTGCTTTGGGAAAAAAGGAAATGGCAGCTGAGAATTGAAAATTGGGATGGTTTGGAAGGGAGGCACCGATGCTGGGTTAGGGGGTTTGCATGGAAAGATGATGTGGATGGGCGGGCTGGTGGAACCGGGGGTGAGGCATGGGGGACTCCTCTTCTGAGAGGCACCAGGCAGAAAACAAGAGTTCACCGGCAAAGAAATATCTCCACCAAAATATCGAGTGCCGAGGTTGAGAACCCCTGAGTTTGAGTAAGAACTGGCATGGAAAAGTGCATGGATTTGTAGTATCCCAAATCAGCGAGATTTGAGTTCTCCAGGACCTGGCTGGAAGCAGGAAAAGAGAAAGGCTGGAGCCAGCTATTTCAAGGCATTTGGTCTCCTCCAAGCCTGGCTCTCAGGGACTGGGGGTGGGGCTGTGAGGAGGGGAGGTATTGGGCAAAGTGTACAAAGTTTCAGACAGAAGAAATAAGTTCTAGAGGTCTGTACAGCATAACTACAGTTAATAATACTGTATTGTGTACTTGAAATTGCTAAGAAAGTAGATCTTATATGTTCTTAACACAAAAAATGGTAAGTGTGGGCTGGGCGTGATGGCTCACGCTTGTAATCCCAGCACTTTGGGAAGCCAAGGCAGGCAGATCATCTGAGGTCAGGGGGTCAGGAGTTGATCAACCTGGCCAACATGGTGAAACCCCATCTCTACTAAAAATACAAAAATTAGCCGGGCGTGATGGCAGGCGCCTGTAACTCCAACTACTCGGGATGCTGAAGCAGGAGAATTGCTTGAACCCAGGAGGTGGAGGTTGTAGTGAGCCGAGATCAGGCCACTGCACTGTCCAGCCTGGGTGACAGAGCGAGACTCCATCTCAAAGAGAAAAAGTAAGTGTATGAGGTGATGGATATGTTAGTTAGCTTCATTTAATTATTTCACAATGTATACAGATATCAAAACATCATGTTACGCATAGTATATATACACAGTTTGTTTGTCTATTATGTCTTAATAAAGCTGGTGGGAGGTTGGGCACTTGGCAAAAAAAAAAAAAAAAAAAAGCAAAGATTAATGCATCCCTACTGTCTCTTAAGCTATACTCCATGAGCACGGGGACTATATATATCTAGCTTGGCCAAAGCCTGAAATATAATATTACTCAAAATATTTTTGTTGAATGAATAAGAAAAAAATAACTTAGATATATTGGTATCCTCATCCAGAGCCACCTTAGATTTCATGAAAGAAACTGGGTTTGGGTTTGTTGAGGTTTGCTTTTAGTACAAGCCAAATTTTGGATTTTTATAAAGTTAAATCTGTCGACATTTTTTTTTGTAATTTCTTCTTTTTCTTCTAAATTTAAAAAGTCCCTCCCATACACTCCTCAGCCCTCATCAAAGATTTGATGAATATCCTCTTCCCTGTTCTTACCAGTTTCTTGTGGGTTTCTTTCTTTAAATATTCAACTGTTTTGGCCAGGCTGGCTGGGTGCAGTAGCTCCTCCCTGTAATCCCAGCACTTTGGGAGGCCGAGGTGGGCAGATCACCTGAAGCCGAGAGTTTGAGATTAGCCTGATCAACATGGCAAAACCCTGTCTCTACTAAAAATACAAAAATTACCTGGGCGTAATGGCAGGTGCCTGTAATCCCAGCTATTTGGAGGCTGAGGCACGAGAATCACTTGAACCCAGGAGGCGGAGTTTGCAGTGATGCACAATCACGCCACTGCACTCCAGCCTGGGCAATGAAGGGAGACTCGGTCTCAAAAAAACAAACAAACAAACAAACAAAAATTAACTGTTTCATTCTGTCTTTCTCAGAGGGTGGTGCAGGTACTCCTGGTACTCGTCGTGATAATGTAAGATTATCTTAGGAATTCTATTGATAAATATTCTTGTGTTAATGGTAGTGTAGGGTTTTTTTAAATAACTTTGTAATCAAGACATGAAACCTGATTTCACAGAGGATATTGCTTAGGGTAAGGGTAAGTTTTTAAAGATGGGTCTGTTTTAAAATTTAAGTGGATAATAGTGTGTGCAGTTGATAAATATGAAAAACTGGTGATAGGGATCTGAAAATTACTAAAGTTTGGGAAACATTTGTTAAATCCGTGATGTTTTTTCTGTCTAGAGTAAGGTGACACTCAACTGTTTTTCTCCCAACTCAACCACCAGATCATTAACCAACTATTCCAAACTATTTATAGAATTAACTCTGCTTGACTTAATGTCTGGCCAAGCAGGTCTCCCCTCTCCCCAAGGAGGGCTGATTTTGAGGGTTAGGGTCCAGCTGGTGGCATGTGAGCAGACAGTGACCCACGGGCCATAGCACATCCAGCAATGCCCTTGGGACCCAACCCAGGTGAATGTGGGTTACAGGACAGGAGCTGACCCGACATTCCCGGACCCCAACATGGAAGTACAAGAACACTGTTATCCCAAGGAGATATTTCCAAGGGGAAATGGGGAGGGACAAAAATAAATATTAGGCATCAAATTAAAATGAGAAGACCCAACGTTACTCTTTGTAATTGAGAACTAGATTTGTAGTGATGAAATCTGGAACCTTAAGGGAGAACTAAAGTGAGACACTGGGTAGGTCATAATACCCTTTCTGTTGTCTAATTATCTGCCTATGAAATGGGTAAATATAGCCTGTTGCCAAATAATGTTGAAAAGACAATTTATCTGGAAAAGACATGTACATATAAGCATGCACACACATGTGTGTGCACATACAATGTGATATATACAAGTATGTGAATCCTAAGGAAATCAGATACAAAATCCAGACTTAAAACCAGTGTGTGGATAGGCAATAACTCCCCCCGCAGTGTTCTCATTTAATGACAAGGTTCCTTTCAATACACAGCTTCCCCAGTGATTTTCATTATTTATTTGGAGTCTGCCAACACCTTGACTGAAAGGCTAAATGGAACTTTAAAAACTGAGAAAAGCACCCAGTACCTCCCCACACCGCATACCCCATCATTTTTTAATTAATAAAAATAATGAATCTCACATACAACTTTTCTAAAACATGCAGGGCAAAAAGTCGGGGGTACTCGAGGCACATGTATTTATCCATCCACCAACCTAACGTGTCAGTGAAGCGGGATGAAACCGTGTGGCCAGACAGAATGGGATTTGGCAGAACCGAATAGAGTGTAGGGCTGGAAAGGGCCTTAGAGTGCTTTTACTTCAAAAGCCTATCCTACAGAGGAAGAAACAAGGGATCTCATGACTCACATACACCCTTCTCACTTCCCAGTAGAGTGACACCACTTAATACTATTTCTTTTGCCACCAAAGAGCAAATTATGATCACATTTGAATGGAGGCACTGTTGAGTTAACCTTGCTGCCTCTGTTGAATTTCTGGTGTCTCAAAGTTGGAGAGAATGCAATGGACAACAGCTCACTACATGTGAGTGAAAGCAAGAGAAGACAGCCAGCAGGTGCTGAGTCATGCTAGAGCAGATGCTGAGTCATGTTGAATTATGCTATCCTGTGGGATTCACCAGGGGAGACTAATCCCCAGGGAGTTTATTTGCCGTCTTAAATGAGGGACTCAAGTGAGAACCTGGCTACTTACTAATTGGAACAATATTCAAGTGGGGAGAGGGGCAGGGGAGGATCCAGGAGGTCCACACCCTATAAAATGTTTGGGCTGTGTCTGGGGCCAGGACTTTGCCCATTCTGCAGAGTCCAGAATGAGGTCTCTTCCACCCTCTGTAGTTTTCCAGGTGGGCTATGGGATCTCCTGGCAATTGAAGAGGGCTTTGCAAAGATGAGCTGGGTTTATAAATAATGCATTTCCTTTGTCTTGCAGGAATTCGGGAGGCAGAGGTACAATCAGATCAGCTGTGAACAGCTTACATAGCAAATCTAATAGGTTTGTAAATTAGATTTTGTGTTCATTTGTTTTTGCTGTAAGGCAGCTATTAATCTGCTTCTCTTCTTTGCTGGATGGTGCCCTTCTTACTTAGCAAATAGATCTGTTTCGTTTCACTTTGGCTTTGCATTTCCCTAATCACTTTTGGGGGGAGCTGTCAATGGAAGATCACATGAAATGGCCCAAGGTCTAGAGGCTGCAGAGATGGAAAATGCAGATGGGTAAGAGTCACTTTCTGGAAAACAGCCCACCCACTTTGTAATGCCTGGGACACCAATGAGCTTACTCAAACTTGCATGTTTGCTGAGCAATGGAGACCCTGAAGGGAACCAGCATTTTCACTCAATTTCATTGTGGTAAATGGCTCGTCCAGGAGGTTAAGATGGAAAATAAAGCATTCGGGAACTTTGCTGAGACCTCTTAAAATATTTAGGGAGTCAACACAGTAATGTTAACCCTGATTATTGAACGTACGCTCCAAATTCTGAAAGAGTGTTTCTACTTCATGTAATGGTGCAGAACAGTCATTGCCAGGGGACAGCTTGATGCAGGACAGCGTGCAAACCCAGGCTTGCCCCTGGCTGTGGCTACAC
Source organism: Homo sapiens (assembly GCF_000001405.40). Classification (NCBI taxonomy): domain Eukaryota; kingdom Metazoa; phylum Chordata; class Mammalia; order Primates; family Hominidae; genus Homo; species Homo sapiens. The sequence continues at coordinate 92,430,705 of NC_000015.10, forward strand.
CATGCTTCTGAGTCCCCATTCTCCATCAATGACAAGTGCCCCATAGCTATGGCCTGTAGTCTTATAAGCTTGAGCTTAAGGAGCGGTGGAAGGAAGTGCCAAGTTATATGATGTAAACAAAGGCTACTACTCAAAATCAGGGCCTTGTTTTTCTTTCTAAATATCCTATTTTGGTCATTGTGGGAATAAGAGGTCCATATGATGCAGAGGATTGTCTATTATTTGCCCTTCCATATTTTTTTAGATCTCTTTTCTGTATGAGACCTGTGAAGTACATCTGTCCCTGACCCTGCATGACTGACTCGAGAAACTGTTCCCTCTGTCCCTGACATCATTGCTTCTAGCTCTCTAATGACCTCTTAGCCACCTTGGAGCTATGAATGAAGCCCGTGTTATGCCAGGTGAAATGTGAATATGGCAGAAAGAAAGAAGGCCATGTGCTCCTAAGTCTCTCTCTGTTCTATTATGAAATGATGCCCCATTTCGGAGAAAGAAGATCCTGCCCCTGAAGCCCAAGTCCTCGTGGTAGCTTGAGGGGCCACAGTCTCATATGAATCAAGTATGAGAAGTGGAAAAAAACAGTCCTGGGAGCCAGGCAGCCCTGGCCTCAGCCCCAGTGTTTGTTAGCCAGGACCTTAGGCAAGTGATTTTACCCCTCTGAGCCTTGGCTTCCCCATTTAATTAGAATAATACTGCAGTGTCTTCTTTGAGGAGTGTTTAAGGATTAGAACCACCAAATGTAAGAATCTATCTAACCCAACACCTGATATGTTAAAGGTACTTATTTGATGCTTGTTACTACTACTGTGGATATATCTGTGGCATGAAAAGAAGGTCACTGGGAGTGAAGTTCAGGAGTCGGGAGGTGAAGCAACTTAAGCCTGAAATGTACCTCTAGTGTCATTTTGGAAATGGGGGAGGGGACTGGAAACAGGAGAACACATTCATTGAAAAGGAATATCTCAACTCACCAATCCAACGTGTTTGTGCAGCACACAGCATGTAAAACCTGTGAACCGAGGTGGACCCTGGAGTTTTCTAATCCATCCCCTTTATTTTACAGATAAGAAGGCAGAGTCTAGAAATCTGAAGTGACTTTTCCAAGTCCCCCAGGTAGACTGCAACTGAGCCAGGGTTAAAATCCCTTAAGACCATGATGGGCTATGCAGGATGCCATCCAAATTCACCCTGGAAAGTGGAGAGAGAAATGGAATTTTACCATTACCCACACCAGCATTTATCTCTCTCCCTTTCCAGCCTTTGCCATCTTGTGTCCAGGAGAAGTCTGGAAACCTTTCCTGGAGGTTTCCAAGCAGGTCTCCTCTCCAGGCATCCACGGGAGAATTCCTCTGCAGCTCCTTCTTTCCTGAGCCTAGTGCCATCCAGTGTGCCCCAGTCTCTGAGAAGCATCACCCTAGACTGAACCCACCTTAAGCCATGAGACACCAGAGCCCAGTCACTGATTTCTGATGAGTACATCAGCTAGCCTCTTAGTGCGATAACTCCTCATCACCAACATTAAAGCATTTCTGTTGTGCGTGCCTACTGAGGTAGGCTTCAACAAAGCTGGGGTGAAGCCGCTAATTCTGTGTCGCTGAGGTCAGTGCCCCTGCCTGTGTTCTGCATAGAAGTTGGTGGTATCAAAAGGATGCAGCAATGCCAGCTCCTGCTAGAGCCTCATGAGGTGGCAGCCAGTGGGGCATGCCAGAAACATCGGTGCTCCTTTGAAAATTCCAGAACCTCACGAGATGGATATCTGTCTCTTCTACACCTTGTTTCTATAAATGGGCAATCTGTGGCTCAGAGAAGTAAAGCTATCGACCCACAGTCACACAGCTTATGAAATCTTTCCACTGTACCCAATGCGTCTTGCATGAAAACAGTAAAAATTCCAAAGGGTTAGGTCTTGTGTACCCTCTCGGAAGCTCCCTTAAGCCTGCATGCTAGGAAGAGTTCCTCTGCCTTACTCAAAACTCGTCAATTCTCTATCCTCTGCGAAGTTACAGATATTTGAATTCAAGAGAAGTGATATCAGCCAGAAGGAGTCAGAAATATTGAGGAATGGAGGTGGGTGCATGAAGGGAATGTGTGAGACAACATGCACCCCTAAGCGAAGTCCTTCTCTACCTGCAAAAGTCAAACTAGGGCCAAGCATGGTGGCTCATGCCTGTAATCTCAGCACTTTGGGAGACCGAGGCAGGCAAATCTCCTGAGGTCAGGAGTTCAAGACCAGCCTGGACAACGGGCGAAACCCCATCTTTACTAAAATACAAAAATTAGCCGGGTGTGGTGGCATTCGCCTGTAATCCCAGCTACTCAGGAGGCTGAGGCAGGAGAATTGCTTGAGCCTGGGTGGTGGAGGTTGCAGTGAGCTGAGATCATGCCACTGCACCCCAGCCTGGGTGACAGAGCCCGCCTCTGTCTCCAAAAAAAAAAAAAGAAAAAAGTCAAAGTGGAGCGTCAGGTTTAGAACTCACTAACAGGATTTCATCTTTTTTAACTTGGCTGTTTCAAGATAAATGGAGAGGACACAGATGTTTGGTTTGAACTCTTTAAAGCTTCAGAATGTGTCATCACAAATCCACTTATTCTAACTGGGAGAATCTGCTGTCAGCACAGACAAAAAGAACTTTGGATGTGACCCACATATATCTGTGTGCATCCAGCAGCAAGGCGGCTAACTCTTACACTGCCTTTAAAGATAGAATTGTAACCTAGTTTATAGAAACCTACTAGCATAGATTTCAAGCCTCTGAATTCAAGCCAGTCCTATAATACCTGGTGTTCCTGAGTCAGATGGAAAGGGGGTGTTTACCCAGAATCGTGATCCACCCAGGGAGTATAAAGCCAGCCAGTTCTTTCATTCACTCCAGGCTCCCCCGGGATCGATTTCAACCTAAATTCAACAATACTTATTTATTGAGCACCCGCTATGTTAGACCATTAGGGAATATAAAATGAATGTGGGAGATCCCTTGCGTACAGTCTCCTATGAGGGACAGACACAGCACAGATGACTGTGTAACAAGGTCCATGTTTCAAGGAGCATATCTCAGAATTACCCTCAAGAGAGTGATGGGGCTGCCAGGGAGGAGGGTGAAGCCACAGGCTACAATGACATTGTCCTGGTATGAGTTCTTGTTTTCTCTTTTAAGTTTGTAAGACCATCATTTGATACTTTGTTGCTCATATACCTGCTCCTTGTAGAGTTTCTTATCAATAGCTTGAATAAGAAATATTACTCTTCTGACAGTGACTGCCAGGTTTTACCAGGAAAAAAAAAATCACTAGGGGCAGGGGAAGAAGAATAAGTTTATCACCCTCCTTCCTGTCTCCAACAATGTATGTAGGTTATACCTTAGGGACAGAGTTTCTGCATTACTGGAAGATAAATAGACTTCCTTCTCTTCTCAGGTAATAACTGCAATTTTGCTCTTCTGGAGAAGTTTACATTCAAGCCCGTGCAAAAACAAAACTATTAGACTTGTCGTCGGCTTGCTAACACATCATGTCTACCCTCTTTCTTTTTTTTTCCCTTCCAGAGCTGAAGTTGTAATAAACGGCTCCTCATCACCAGCTGTTGTTGACAGAAGTAATGAAAGCATCAAGCACAACATCCAGCCAGCCTCGTCCAAATGGAGACATAACCAGACGCTCTCTCTGAGGATCAGGTACTGGTAATTACCTACAGGACAAGAGGTAGACTTGGTCTTGAGCATACACGGGCAAATTGCTTCTCTTCGTCATCTAAAGAAGTCAGGATAGAAATAAAATGTTTACCTCCCACTGAGGCAGGTTTCATCTGTAAGTGATCAATCGGAAATAAAAACCCGAGACAAGCCTAGCGGCCCAGCCTGTGTATGTGGCGACTGGGGCCAGGCGGTGGCAGGAACACCCGCTGAGGTTCTGGGCTTAGAAGCAGCAAACCTTGAGTCTCGGGTCAGCAGCAGAGGGAATCTGGGCAGTGGAGGCCACAGGTGGCTGCTTCTTCCCAGGCATAAAGAGTCCTTACTTGTTGGGGTCTGCCTGGGAGTCACATCCCCTTTCAGTGACAGTCCTCCAGTTTGTTCCTGGAGAGCTGCTCCCTCTCTCAGCCCTTGGGCTTGTATAGGCTGCTCCTCCCTAACAACGTGAAAATGAAAACCTAGAGCCATAGGGGCATCCGGAGAACCCAGGAACTGACATGACACCCGACCAGAAAGCAGAGGTCTGTTTAGCCAGAGAGCAGCTCTCGTCCTGATCTGTGCAGAGTGATGTTTTCAGAGCACTGCAGCCATCATCGGGTAGTGGCAATGGGGAACCGTAGAGAAGGAATTACAACTTCGGCATTTTGGACACTTAGCTTAGATATAGCCATGATTGACCCAGCAAATATTTGTAAGTATAATCCAACTATTCAGTTCCAGGCATCGTGCTGGGGCCCCAGGAGTGCTAGCATGAATCAGACATGCTAGCTGGGGACATGAATATAAGCAAAGACAAGACAGCGTGGTATGACATACACATGAGGTGGTGCTGCATCTTACACATAGATGGAAATAAACAGGCCATACTGAGCAAAGAGTCATTCATTTTGTAAGAGGACTAAGAAGACTGGCCAGGAAAGGCTGGCCAGGAGCAGTGGGTTTTGAAGGATAATTAGGAGTTCACCAAGCTGCTTCCCACATGCACAGAGTCTGTGATCTGGTGCTTGTGGACAGTGCTGCAGGAGCAGGAAGCAGGAGGCAAGGAATAGGGGGGTAAGGTTGGGACGATAGGCAGGACCAGACGGGGAATGATTGATGACCATCCCAGGCCATACCATGGGGAGAGAGGAGAGCAGCCATCAGCAATGTCACCACGCAGAGCAGGGAGTTGCCCCCTCCACAAGGCTCACTGTCAAAATGGAAATGCCTCTGCACCCTAGTTCTTGAAGCTTAGTTTTGGGACCTGTGCAGGGCTGGGGAATTGAAAGGCATGAGCTCTGGGGACCTAGCAGCTGAGAAACCATCTGAAGTAGCTGACTCCCTGCCACCCTGCACTCCTTACTTACCGCCTCTTCAGAGGCCTCCTGGTGGCCCTCCATCCCCCTCACGAAGCCCTAACAACCGCCCCCTTTGATCAGGGACACCGTGGAGTCAGCAACCCCAACTGCATTAGCTCCCTAGGGCTGCTGTAACAAATTACCAACAACGCGGCGGCGGCCTAAAACAACAGAAATGTATTCTTGCACCGCTCTGGATGCCACAATTCTGAGCACCCCCTTGCAGGCTCCAAGGGAGAACCCATCCTCTCACCGCTTCCAGCCTCTGGTGGCCGCAGAACTCCAACCCCTGCCTCCATCTTCACGTGGCCCTCTCCTCTGTGCTTCTATCTTCTTCTCTTCTGTCTCCTATAAGGACACCTGTCATTGTATTTAAGGCCCACCCGGGTAATCCAGGATCTAATCTCCAGATCCTTAAGTTAATTACATCCGCAAAGATGTTCTTTTGACATGTGGTCACATTCACAGGTTCCAGGGGTTAGGAGGTGGGCATATATTTTAGAGGGGGTCACCATTCTCCCCACTACACCACCGTGAATGAAATCCTCCTGCCAGTATGAGCTACCCATGGTCCCCAATGTCCCTTTCTCCAACCATTGGATAGAGAAATAGCTCCCCCACCCCTTGTGAAGACGAGACTGTGTCCTTCATAAAGACCCTGCAAACACAGTCCCTTCAGCAGCAACAATGTACCTTTACCCAGAGGGAAAAAGAATTTCCTCCAGCTTCAATTAATCACCAAGATTATTCATAATAAAAGATTCTGCAAGTGATTTGGAATGATGTTTAATAATTGATGGTAATTTCTCCTAATTAGTTAGAAATTAATTCACTCACAGAGGTGTTTATTTATGGGCTTTCTAGGGGCTCTCTTTGTTTTTAAATGCTTTGGGGTAAGTAATTGCAAAGGTTTCAGCAATTTCCCAACTATATTAGTTTGTCAAGTCATATAATCCTTGGTAAAGCACAGTAAATAAAAACAGTGCCTCTGTTTTCCATCAACAGATACGAATTATTCTACAAGGGTGGTTTCCCCTACATGATAGCAAGAGAGGCAGGTCATCAATAAGGAAAGACAATGGATGAGACGCGCCGAGCTTACCAAGTGTTCTAGCTGCCCCCTGGCTGCCCCGGAGGCTCTTGAACCTGGACACACATTAAAGTCACCCGGGGAGCTTTTGAGAGCAATGCTGAGAACTGGGCCACTCTCAGAATCAAGATTTCTCACATGTCAGCCTGGAAATTTGAAATACTTAAAGGTTCCCCAAGTGACTGAATGTGCAGCCTACTGGAACGTACCATAGGTTGTGAACATCTCAAATCCAGCAGGCTTTCAGGCCTCAGTGTTACTATCTGCGAGATGGGACAGCCATCCTGCAGCGTCTAACATTTGCAAAGTGCATGAAAATTCTGCACCTCCAGGACTCTGAAAACAAAGAACAGCATCTTTGTATCTGTTCTAGATAGGAATTTGCAGCAGAATATGAAATTAATTTCAGCTTATCTAGGTACTCAATTCCTTTCTCTTTATGACTGGAATCATTTCTTAAAATCTCAGGTGATTTAAACAGTTCTTTAAGTAAAACGCCCAGCTAGGATTTTCAGGTTCCTTGGCAGAAGGCTGTGTGTTTCAGGTAAAGCTTTTCTGGCAAGGCTAAGAGGACACCCATCCCTTTCCTGACCCCACTCCATCCTTTCTTTGTGCTTTGCTAGATGATTCGATTCGAGAACTTTCTCTAAATCAAAGCTACCCCAGAGCCTAGAGAGCTGTGCTTCGTTCTGAAACAATGCAAAGGAGCCCTTCTCCGTGGAACTGGGAGGGGTCCATGTTTACAATCCCCCCATAAACACTAGAGAGCAACTAGAGGGGGCAGCAAGGGGACGTGCACCAGCTTGCAGGATGGCAGGCCATCCTCTCGGTGTCTCAAAGGCAGAAAGTGTCCATACACGTCACAGTATCCATCCCCCCAGAAAGCCCCTTTGCAATGTGCCCAGAGAAACCTTCCGTGGAAGAAAATGGGCCGGTAAGGAGTGAGAGGCGCCTGTCATCTGGCTTTCTGCTCCTAGACAAATTTATTATCCTTTTTTCAAAATCTAGGAAGTGTGGGAGTAGCAGAGAAACTTAGATTTTATACCTAGCCATTCATTTTCATCCCCGTCAGAGGATGGCCCTAAATCCCCCTAAGACAGTGAGGGTAATGTAAGCTCACCAAATGTCTGGGTGTGCCCCAGACTGTGGGGCTTTCAGGGACATGGGGCTTTCAGTGCCCGAGCCAGGCAGTCCTGGGGAAACTGGGGTGGTGGGCCACCCTTCCTTCTGGGGCCCGCTGTGAGGAGCTCACTCCAGCCCTAATGGAGTGATTCCACAGGGCAGTTTTCACCTAGCAAAGGAAGAGGGTGTAACCCTGGCAACCCCCATATTGGCCACCACCGTAGTTGCTTCTGGGCCACTTCTGGCCATCCCTGGCTGGAACCTGTTCTCGAGGGCATCTGAACTCTCATCATACTCTGCGTGTTTGCTGGGCTGCAGCCACCGTGCAGGGCGACCCTGGATAGGAAAAGCTGGGCTGGCAAAGGGCAGCTGGCACCCTGGAGAATTTCCTCACGCATGTTTGGTTTTCACAGGAAGCAGATTTTAAAGTTCTTGGATGCTGAAAAGGACATTTCTGTCCTAAAGGGAACCCTGAAGCCTGGAGATATTATTCATTACATCTTCGATCGAGACAGCACCATGAATGTGTCCCAGAACCTCTACGAGCTCCTCCCCAGGACTTCGCCACTGAAGAATAAGCACTTTGGGACTTGTGCCATCGTGGGCAACTCGGGGGTCTTGCTGAACAGCGGCTGTGGGCAGGAGATTGACGCCCACAGCTTCGTCATCAGGTAACATGCCCCAGCAGGCACTCTGGGGCCAGAGCGGCGGGCAGGCTGTGTTTCAGTGGAGCATTGCCAGCTGTCCCAAGAGATTGAAACAAGAGGCCCTGGTGGAGTTAGCCCCTGCTCTCAACCATGACTGCTCATCAGAATCACTTGGGGAGCTTCGCCTCCAATGTCCAGAATGTACCTCAAACCAATTAAATCAATGGAGGAGAGGGGAAGAGAGGCGTGGCAGGGGTGCGGGCAACCCAGGGAGCCCAGGTCATTCTGATTTACAGCCAAGGTTGAGAATCACTGATCCACAGCAAAGATGGGCAGATGCTGGCCTGCAGCCTAAAGTTTGGTTGGAACACAGCCATGCCACCCGTTTTCATATCATTGATGGCTGTTGTCTCACTACAAGGAGAGTGGAGTCACTGGGCACGGTTAAATCATTGGGTGAAATTGCAGAGTCAGAACAGAGAGATCATATCACCTGCAAAGCCAAAAATGTCATTATCTGGCGCTTTATAGAAAAAGTTTGCTGATCCCCTGAGGTAGAGCCTGGTACAAAAGGTTGGTAAGAAAATCTCCTGGGCTGGCCAGTTGTTGGTTCAAGTTTGCAAAACTCTTTGTAAGTGTCTTGGGAGGGGGTGCCCTACTAGTGACTTTATTACCCTGTTCTCAAAATCTGGGAAGTGCGGGAGTAACAGAGAAACTTGAATTTTGTACCTGACTATAATTTTCTCTAAAATATCAGCTCTCATTTTCCAGTTGCCTGGGACATTTGCACACAAGGTTGCCCATGGCCCTGCCACCTGACCCCCAACCCACTACAGTCATGGAAACAAGGCTTTGCTGTCTCCAGGTCAAAATTAGGGCACGCGGAGCCTCGAGTTTCATTCCAGCCGGCTCCCCAGCCCTGGCAGAACCGCAAACGTTCTCATATTTCTGTGGGGACCAACTCGAGGCAAAGACAGCCTTGTCCTGGGGCTTTGGGAAGCCGCCCTATTGTAGAGTTCCCTAAACCTTGGGACATGGGAAGAAACCGTGTCTTTACTCTTGCATCCTCTGGGATTGAAACGCTACCACAGCCTGGCAGCCAGAGTTTTGTCATCCTCTGCCAGGTCTGTCTGGGCCTGGCATATCCAACAGCTCAGTCCCTGTTTTTCAAAGCCCTTTAGCCTAAAGACTGGTGGAGGGAGGGTGAGGGGAGGGGAAAGGAAGAAGGAAGAGTGGCTGGTCTGTCTGCTTGGAAGCCAGAGAAGGAGTGACGGGTGGGTGTTAAAGGTGAGTGTGTGGGGGCCAAGGCCTCCTCCCAAGGGGTCGGATCCTCTCCAGGAGTGCCCAGCAGTATCCGGGGGAGGCGGGGGGGTGGCTGTCTGACCTAAAGCCACACATGTAAGCCATGCCTCTTCCATTGTCACAAGTCATGAGTCCCCACAGTGAGCTTTACACATCCCATGAAGTCCTGACCCAGGAATTTTGAGAGGCAGATTTTGGCCACAGTTTCCTTTTGGGACCCTTTCACATAGTCAGCAGCGCACAGTCCAAAGCTGTGCCTTGGCTCTGCTACCCATTTGTCACATGACTTGGAGTGTATCTCTCTGCCTTTCTGGGCCTCAGTTTTATCATCTGTAAAACGGGCTGGGTGGACTGGCTGGCCTTGAGGTTCTTTCATTATGAATACAGTCTGTACTCCAGCCCAGTGCTTCTCAGACTTTACCATGGACAGGAGTCACCTGGGCCTATTGACATGCAGAGTTTTGGGGTCTAGGGTACAGCCGGCAACTCAGCATTTCTAACAAGCACCCCAGGGGACGCCACTGCTGGTGTGTGACTGCACGTGGACAGGTGCAGCCGGGGTGTGCTCTGCCTCACTCCTGGGAGTCACGTCCACACCCATCCACACATACTTGGAAAATATGGGTCAAAAATGCCAAGGAGCAAGTTACTTCAAAAAGTGCAGTTGTTCTTTGTCCCTTAGGCCTATGTCCATGGCTCTGAAACTCCCACGTGTCTCTGGGGTGGACCTGTGGGGTGTTTTAGGACAAGATTATGCAGCCCCACTGGGTACAGACTTACGTTTGACATCAGGGATACGATACCCAGCAGTGGCACTAGCTCCTCCACCCCACTGGGACTATTCCTCTGGGTTCTTCCCATCTAGGAGTTTATTCCGTGCCCTGCACTTGGTAATATCCTACAGGCCAAAGCCCCACACTAACAGTAAAGAGAGCATGATGTTGCAAGCATTAAATGAGACGGCATATGTGAATACGCCTGGGATGGTTTCTCCCACACAACAGGGACACTAAGTGTTAATTCCCCATGGACTCTGTCTCCACTCCACCCACCTCACCCCCAGGTGGTGAGCTCCTCCAGAGCAGAGTGGCTGTGTCCATCTCTGGGCCTCCCGTACAAGGCTGTGCCAGGCCAGAGGAGGGCCTCCATGTGGCTTTACTAGAATGGCAGACGCTGTGAAGCTCCTGATGGAGGTTTCTGTCTCTGCCAATCCAAGTCTTCAATCCATTCACCCTACCTCCTCTGTGGGAGAAACACAAAGACACGCAAGACCTCACCCCCTCTCAGAAAACTCTGTGTGGGGAACACAAGCTTGTAAGTCCTGGTGGGACACATGGCACGCAAAATGCAACTATCTTGCAAAACCTAGTGCCTCCTAGGGAGTCCAGGGCAGGCTTCCGGCAGAAGCGGCATTGGAGTGTGGCTTGCCTTTGACCAGTAAAAGTGGTGAGGAGGAGGAAACAGCATGAAGAGGGGTGTGGAAGCAAGAAGGCAGATGCATGGATCCGGCAGGGCACTGCTCGAGCAAGCGTCAGCTGCACAAAGTGCTGCTGGGAATGTCTGAGGGGCTGGGCCCAGGAGAGCCCCACGATCCTGCAGTGCCAGGCTGAGGACACTGTGTCTATCTGGGATCGTGTGTGCAGAGTATAAGTTCCCAGATGTTTGGGGAACAGAACTTCACTGTGCATGCACACACACACACACACACACACACACACACACACACACACACGCACTTCTTCCATAGGGAGAATCTGATGAACAAATGCCCTTCCATGGATAAACCACATCATCATCACTGTTATCCCTTACCATTTTTTGGCCACTTTGAACGTACCAGGTGCTATTCTATGTACTTCATGTTTATTAACTTATTTAATTATCACAGCTATTCTGTATGGAGCACTCTGTTTTTATCCTGGCTTTGCAGTGAGGAAATTGAGGCAGAGAGAGGCAAATGCCACACAGCTAGTGAGGGCTGGAGCCAGGCAGTGGACCAGGTAGTTGGCCTCCAGAGCCTGCCCAAGCTGCCTCTCTCACCCTGCAGAGTACTCTTCAATGTGTACCTGTAGGTGTGGTGGTTTCTGGAAGGGAGTGACTCCTCTCCTGCCCGGAGCCAAGCCCATTCAGAAGTCACTTTGGGAGGCCTGGCCTACTGTTGGACAAAAGAGAGCCTAGATCAGATTGAACCCCTTCCTAACGCCTCCTTCTCAACTAAATGAAGCAATTCACATCTGGTGGGGAAGGAAGACATCTAGACAGTCCACTTAGGGCAGAGCTCCCCCAACCCAGCATCCTCACTGAGGCACAGTCATTGGAAAAGCTTGGACTTCACAGCCCATCCCTGCCTGCCTCTTCTTGTGTCTCTGCAGGTAAGGTATGGAGCCCTTACTGTGAGCCGAGTCCTATACTGAATGAGGGCTGGGGCCTGCCTGCAAGGAGCTCACAGCCCCTGTTCCCATTACCCACAGCATCTTCCAGGAGGTGGCATCCCAGACTGGCCAACATTGCAGTTGGGAGTATATTTCCTGCTTCACCCCTCGTGAGCCGCCAGGGTCAGGTGCCACATCCCCTTCATTCTCCTTGCCTCTTTCACAGCCCCTCCTGCCCCATGGTTGATCCCAATCCATCTGAACTGCATGGAGTCCACTTGGCCCTGCTCTCAGGACCCAGAGCTTGGCCTAGAATTGGCCCCAGGACCCTCAGGAAGGCCTTGGAAGCCTGGCTCAGCCGGGTTTCAAGGCAATAAAAGTAACTGAGACCTGAGCAGCCCCACACTGGCTGATGTGCTGCAGTGACACCTCAGTCTCTGAGGCCTGTGGCAAGGGCTCCTGAAGGTGAATTGACCCAGGGCAATCCTATCTGCTTACAATGTTTAGCCACAGTCAAAGATAGCAAGGCCTAGGGGCAGGGATGGGAAGACGCGATATTTTAGGGGGTTCAGTCTGAAATCACAAACAGGCTCTTTGAGTCAAATATACCTGATCTTGACTCCTGGTGGTTCCCTTTCTAGCTCTGGGCCTTTGAGCAAGTTGATTCTCACACACTGGGCCTCCATTTCCTCCTGTGTGACAGGAGGGTGATTAAAACTGGGTCACAAAAAAAAAGAGCTGACCTATGTTAAAGGACCAGTCAGTGCCTGGCACACACCAGGGGCTCAAAAAATATTAGTTTTCTTTCTGATTAACCCACTTTTTCTCCCCAGTTGTTGAAAAAGGAAAGTCCTTGCTTAAAGGGAGGATAAATGGTACGTTCCTGGATTTCTTCGTTTGATGATGACCTGTGATCCCTTGTCTTCATGTCTCCAGCCTCTATTTTTACACTCTTAACTGGATTTCTCAGACTTATTTTCACTGGTCAAAGGGCTTTTCCACCATTAAATCCTCTGTGCCAGACAGCAGCCAGACCTCCCCTGCAGTGCCCTCTGCTGCCATCCCAGTCCTAGGCACAGGCAGGAAACCCAGGTGTGCACACCCAGGCCGGGTCTCCCACAAGGAAGTCATCAGGTTAAATAGCAGAGGCTGCTCACCCAGGCAGCCTGATTGTCAGCATGAGTTTGCAGTGGCCTCTTAGTTTGCCCTCCAGTACCCAAATCCATCCCCTCCAATCCATACTGCAACTTCATCTCATTGCTTTCTAATCGTGGCCAAAAATTCTAAACCGTCCCTGTCACTCTCCTGCTCCAGAACCCTCAGTGGCTCCCTATTGCCCCCAGAACCAAGTCCCTGGCACACAGGTCCTTTGATATCTCACTCTGCTTGCCTCCCCAAGCCCATCTCCTCCACACAATATGCTCCAGTCGGACCAGATCACTTGCCTTTCCCTAAACACCCATGCTGTTTCTCACCTCTCTGCCCTTGGATGCCTTTCTTGTGCCTACAGTGCTCTAGCATGGTATTCCTAACCTGCTTGGCTATAACACTACCTGAAGAGAAAGAGCTTGTGAAAAATAGGTATCGATGCTTAGGCTCACCTGCTGAATCAGAATCTCCAGCCGAGGAACCCGGGAATCTATATTTTTAACGAGCGCCTGGGGTGATTCTTCTGACTTGGCAAACTGGAGAAGCACTCTTTTCGTGTACCTTGTCCACTAACAGACTTCTGCTTAGTGGTCACCACCTCAGGGAAGTCCACCTGACACTCCTCCTTCCCATAAGAGCGATGACAACAGTTAGCATTTATCAAGCTCTTATTATATCCAGTAGTGTTCTAAGTACTGGGCATATAGCAATTCTTTTAATCCTTGGGAGGGATGCTGTTGTGATCTCTATCAAAGCTAAAGTAATGGAAGGTCTCAGGAAGCACAGAGAGGTTGAGCAAGTTTCCCAGACTCACACAGGTAGAAAGTGTCCAAGCCAGTTTAGAGCCTGGGAGTCTGCCTTCAGATCCCTCACTCTGTCACCTAATGGGCCAGATCACTCTTGGCAACAGCATCATCATCTTGTGGACTGAGGACTGGCTTACTTGCTTCTTTCCTCCTCTCCTAGATCCTGAACTCCAGAAGACAGGCATTTACATCCACAGGGTCTAGCAAAGTTCTAGGTACACGATATGAGCTCAGTAAACCTTTGTGGCAGAAAAAGGAGGAGAAAGGATGATGGGAGGGGCCTGTGAGTGTGGAGAGATGCCCTGGGTCTTTGTTTGGGGATGAGAAAGAAGCAAGGAGAGGCAAAGGATGGGATCGAGTTAAACAGAGGAAGGGGTCTCAGCTTTCCCAAAAGGATCATGTTGCCTTTTTCTCCGGCAGGTGCAACCTGGCCCCAGTACAGGAGTATGCCCGGGATGTGGGGCTCAAGACAGACCTGGTAACCATGAACCCCTCGGTCATCCAGCGGGCCTTTGAGGACTTGGTCAATGCCACGTGGCGGGAGAAGCTGCTGCAACGGCTGCACAGCCTCAATGGCAGCATCCTGTGGATCCCTGCCTTCATGGCCCGGGGCGGCAAGGAGCGTGTTGAGTGGGTCAACGAGCTTATCCTGAAGCACCACGTCAACGTGCGCACTGCATACCCCTCGCTGCGCCTGCTGCACGCCGTTCGCGGGTGAGCGGCCTCCCTACAGGCCAGTAGGACCGTCACTAAGTGTGGGAGATTCTTGGTAGGCAGTATCCCTTTCCCAGGTGCATTTCCATCCCAGCTCCACCACTCATTTGCTGGATGGCCTCAGCAAGTCACCTGGCCTTTCTGAGCCTCCATTCCTTGAGAGATGAGGGGGTTTGGCAAGTGGGTTTCATCTGGCATGCCAATTTTGACCAATGGGTAGTGCCTGCCTAGGGAACTGAGTTGAGAATGATCTTGGGGGTGGGGCTGTCTTGAGGCTCAATGGGAACAGACGCCATGAACATGGGAGGAGAGATGGCGGCTGGCAAGTCACATACCATCCCAGGTGTGTGATTTTCAAGAAAATCAGGATCAGATGCACTTGACTTCAAGTAATTCACCTTAATCTCTTTAAACTTTAGTTGCCTCTTCAGGGAAATATGAGTGGGAATGGTAACATTGGAGGATGTGAAGACTAAATGAGATAATGTACGTGAAATGCGTAGTAAAATTGCGGTAGAAACATTTAATGTTATCATCAATCATCGCTATCTTTATGTCTCAGTGCAATATTCTCTAACTCTACAGAGCACATCTTACTGATTGGGCTGAGATCTTCAAAGGAGCGTCTCTTAGGATATGTTTTTGTCCACAAGGTCTTCTCTCTAAGATGGAGGGGAACTTTACCTAGGCAATATGAAAGAGATAGGGAGAGTTAAAGCAATGGAATCCACTCTCTTTAAGAAGAGTTTTGATGTAACTAATTAGGTAAGGATTTTCCTGGTTAGGCCTGGATCTCTAATTCCAGGAAAGAGATTCCAAGAATTAAGGAAAACAAATAGGAAATGTTGAGGAGGGTCTGAACTATTCCTATCAAGAAGTCCATGTCAACCTGGATGGCATTCTTAAACAGCCCCAGCCAAACAAGTAGTAGTTCCCAATCTCCTCCTTGTTTCCTCCCATTCATGTGACCTGGCATAGATCTCCCTGGCACTTGGATCAGTAAATTGGCTAGGAATTTACTAGTGCCCATGATAGCAGCCACAAGAAAAATAGTTTAATATTAATCATTCATTCACTCTCTTCCAGTTATCTATTGCAGTAAAAATCATCTCATAACTTAGTGGCTTAAAAAAACAACAACATCCATTTTATATTGTTTACAATTTCTGTTGGCTAAGAATCTGAGAAGGGCTCACCTGGATGGTTCTTAGGTCAGGTGCAGTCAGACTGGCTAGAAGTAAAACAGTGGGGGGCTGAAGCAGCTGGGGTTGACCATGCGTCTCTCTCTCTTTATGTTATATTAGGGTTTCTCCAAATGATCTCTCCGCATGGGCTAGATTGGGCTTCCTCACAGCATAGTAGCCTTAGAGTGGTCAGACGTGTACATGGTGGCCCAGGCTCTAGCACAAGTGGCCCAGAGACCAAGGCAGAAGCTGCATCACATTTTTAGACCACATAGTGTCACTTCTATTATCATCTACTAGTCACCTAGTCATTAAATTAGCTTAGAATCAAGGGGAGTAGACATAGATCCTGCCTCTCAATGGGAAAGTGCCAATTTGTGTACATGTTTTAAAACTTACACACATTCATTCTGCATATATTTATTGAGTGCTTACTATGCGCTAGGCTCTGTTCTATACACTAAGACACAGTAGTGAATAAAATAAAGATCTCAGATCTCATTAACAATTAAGTTTTCTTATAGGGAAAGATAAATTACAGGTAAACAAATAAATAAGATACTTTTAAATGGTGCTATCAGGAAACTCTTCTCTAGAAAGAAGTTGGTTTGAGCTAAGTCTCAAGGGACAAAACAGCACCAGCCATGTGCAGATCTGGGGTAGGAACCTTCCAGGTGGAGGGAACCTTAAGTGCAAAGGCCTTGAGGTAGGAGGGTGTGTTCAAGGTTCAACCAAGAGACAAATGTGGTTGAAACAGAGTGAGCAAGGAGAAAGGGGAAGGAGATGATGTTGGTGAGAGAGGCAGGTGCCAGAATGCACATATGTTTGTGGGCCATGGTAAAGAGTTTGGGTTTGATTCTAAGTTTGAGGGGCAGTGAAGGAGGTGAGGGAGAAGACCTGAGTTGTGTCTTTAAAAGATCCCTCCAGCAAGAATGAAAGCTGGAATATTTGTTGGGAAGCTGCTGCAATAGCTCTGGCAGGAAATAATGATGGCTTAGGCTAGGATTATGGCATGGGATATCTAAGAGTTGGTCAGATTTGCTATAAAATTTTGAGGTAAAGGCAGCAGGATTTGCCGGTGGATTCTATTTAAGGACCATAATGGGGGAGAGAAAGAGAAAAATCCAGGATGACTCTTAGAATTAGAGTTTGAGCAAACAAGCCCAAGCAAACAAGCACAATGTGGCAGTGCCATAGTCTGTGATAGCAGAGCTTAGAGAAGCCCATGCATGTTTGGGGGCATTGTGGAAGGGAGTTCTTTCTTGAGCATACGAAGTGTGAGATGCCTGTTACAAATGTATATCCTACCACACTCCTGACCTCCCAGCTTGGGGTCAGGCCCTATACCCAATTGCCCATCCAACCACATGGCAGATCACCAGGGATGTGAGGGAGCCCAGTGTACAGACTCCCCACTGACTGAGGGGCATCAGGATGCTCTTCACTGGGGACTTAGCATAACTCAGTGTGACCCTGGGAAGCCCTCTGAGCCACCCACAAAGGATTCTTGTCCTCATGGTGACTGTGGTCACCCAAGCCTGTGACCAACACTGGTCTCATTAAGATGGGTATCAACAGGGAAAACCCATTGCCCCCAAGAAAGCCCGAGAGAGACATTCGATAAGGAGCAGCCACATGTGTGTCTGATGGAGCCAGAATGATCCCCATATGGACACGGGGCTCAATGGGGCTACATACTTTATCCTAGAGGTTGGTCTCTCAGGACCATGTTTTCACTTCATCCCTGTCAGAGTAGGTCTGCAGTGGCAACCCTCATCTCGTGGACTGTTTAAATATTAAATATCGTTCCTTCCTAGAAGGAGGAAACTCTTGAGATGGTTCTGGAGTCCTTGGGGATAAGAGGAGAAACACTGCCCTTTGTTAAGGAGAGAAAATGTCCCTTGAATGGGGAATGGGCAACCACCTGGAAGAAACTGATGCAGCCAGATCTATTTCCAGCTATAACTGACTCACTTTCATCTGTCAAAACAGCATTAAGCACCAGTAATAAGCCCTTTAAACAAACAGGCTGTTCATCCTGAGACTGCAACATCTTCAGCTGCAGGACCACCCCAGGAGGAAATACTGCAGGAGATTAGCCTCTTCTTTTAGCAGGGGGAGAAGAAGGGGAAAAGGAGGCTTGGAATGGAATTCTGCCAATGATCCTCTCCCTCCGTGGGGCCATTGGACTCTGCAGGGTGCTGGGTCTAATAGGACACCAATGAAAAGTTAGGGAGCATGTTCATTAGCCCTTGCCTTGGTGGGACCTTACCTGGTGTTCACTGCAAGTGGAGGAATGGGCTGGGGAGGGATGCAGTACAAAGTCACACGAGAAAAGACCAAGGGATTGTAGAGAGGAAGGCTGAGGAGGAATCCGGCCAAGAGGCACTGTGGCCTAGCATCAAAACCATGGGCTTTGGCAGTAGCGACACCTCCAAAGGGTCCAGACCCCAGCTCCGTGACTGGCTTGGTTGTATCACCTGCCTTCCCCCAGAGCCCCGCAGAAGACACATGTAATTAATCAATCGTGCCTACTGTGATTGTGGCAGCTGCCACCTGCCACTTGGAGAGCTACAATGTGGGAAAGACATAAGACTTGTCCTATGGACTCAAGAGTTCCAGAGGCTGGAGCCACAAGGAGGAGAGTGCAATAGGCTGAATTTAAGACAGGACTCTGTAGTAGTCAGAGCAGTGGACTAAGTTAAACCAGTCACTCATGAGTTCTTCACCTTGAAGTCCCAATAATGGACTGCAGTTTGCAAAATAATCTTGTTTCCTTATGTTAAGATGTGTTACCCAATAAACCCCCTGTTTATAGGGTATGTGGGGGGGGGTGTGAATGAACTTTTATTGTGATAAAATATACATAACATAAAATTTATGATTTTAATGATTTTTTTCTTTTTCAACTTTTATTTTAGATTCAGGGGGTACCTCTGCAAGTTTGTTACCTGGGTATATTGCATGATGCTGAGGTTTGTGATACAAACGATCCCACCACCCAGGCACTAAACTTAGTACCCAACAGTTTTTCAACCCTTTCCCCATTCCCTTCTTCTCCAGTGTCTACTGTTGCCATCTTTATGTCCATGAATACCCAATGTTTAGCTCCCACTTATAAGTGAGAACATGTGGCATTTGGTTTTCTATTCCTGTGTTAATTCACTTAGGATTACGGCCTCTAGTTATTAGATCATCAGGGACAGTTACTTGTGAATGGGTATTGTTTATACACCATGCGTCCATGATGTATTCCATGGTGTATATGTACCACATTTTCTTTATCCAATCCACCACTTCTGGGCACCTAGTTTGATTCCATGTCCTTGCTATTGTGAATAGTGCTGCTATGAACATGCCAGTGCATGTGTCTTTTGGTAGAATGATTTGTTTTCTTTTGGATACTCATCCAGTAATGGGATTGCTGGGTGGAATAGTAGTTCTACTTTCCTTGCAAAATCTCCAAACAGCTTTTCACAGTGGCTGAACTAATTTACAATCCCAACAATATATAAGCATTCTCTTTTCTCCACATCCTCACCAACATCTGTTGTTTTTTGACTTTTTAATAATAGCCATTCTGACTGGTATAAGATGGTATCTCGTTGTGGTTTTGATTTGCATTTCTCTGATGATTCATGGTGAGCAGCATTTTTTCATGTATTTGTTGGCCACTTATTTGTCTTCTTTTGAGAAGTGGCTGTTCATGTCTTTTGCCGATTTTTTAATGGGGTTGTCTTTTGCTTGTTGAGTTGTTTAAGTTCCCTATAGATTCTGGATATTAGACCTTTGTCGGATGCATAGTTTGTGAATATTTTCTCCCATTCTGTAGGTTGTCTGCATTTTAAGCATTGTTAATTGTACATTTCACTTAGAAGAAATTCACTCTTAGAAGAAAACTTAGGAGAAGGTTTTCATCACCTTGTGTTTGGCAATGGTCTTTTAAGTATGACACCAAAAGCACAGGCAATGAAAGAAAAAATAGATAAATTGGACTACCTAGAAATGTAAAACATTTGTGCATCAAAGGACAATCTATCAAGGCACTCATATAATTAGAGAAAAGATTTACAAATACTATACCTGATAAGGGATTAACATCCAGGATATGTGAAGAACTCTTACAGCTCAACAACAAAAAACCCAAATAACTCAATTCGAAAATGGGCAAAAGACTTGGAATAGACATTTCTCCAAAGAAAATATACAAATGGCCAATAAGTACGTGGCAAGATGCTCCGCTGATCATGAGGGAAATACAAATTAAATACATGAATGTATTAGTCTGTTTTCACACTGCTATAAAGAAATCCTGAGATTGGGTAATTTATAAAGAAAAGAGGTTTAATTGGCTGACAGTTCTGCAGGCTCGCCAGGAATCATAGCGGCTTCAGCTTCTGGGGAGACCTTAGGAAGCTTCCAGTTCTGACAGAAGGCAAAGGGAGAGTGAGGCGTCTCACATGGCAGGAGCAAGAGAGAGAGGGAGGTGCTGCACACTTTTCAACAACCAGATCTTATGAGAACTCACTCATTATCATGAGGACAGTATCCACCGCATGGTGCTAACCCATTCACAAGAAACTGTCCCTGATGATCTAATCACCTCCCACCAGGTCCCACCTCCAACATTAGGGGTTACAAAATTCAACATGAGATTTGGTGGGGACACAGATCCAAACCATATCAATGAGATATCACTTCATACCCTCTAGCATGGCTATTAGTAAACACACATACACACACACAGAAAATAACAAGTGTTGGTGAGGATGTGGAGAAATAGGAACCCTTCTGCTTTGCTGGTGGGAATTTCAAATGAGAATTCACTTTTAGGGCAGTGACCAGGGATCAGTATAATCATTTCACATCTGGACATAAGTCAGCTACCTTGACAAAGCATTTCATGGGCAACTTGGACTTGACGGACAGTTTAGGGAATTGAAGGGGACAAACGTTAACTTGTTACCTTCATCTTGTTACCTTCATTTTGCAAAAGAGGAACTTGATGCTCAGACAAGTTAGGTCATTTGTATGAGGCCACCCAGCATCTAAGTGGCACAACCAGGAACTGAACTGCATTCTCTCGCTCTAATGTGGTGCACCAGGTGCAGCAGAAATTTGCACTCATTTAGGGACAGGGATGGCAATGAGCTGAGTGGGCCAGGAGCTGCCACACTGGAGAAGAGGTGTTAGAAGACCACGGCAGGCAGCAACGCATCAAGGCTACACGTGCACACACTGCAGTTGTTCAGAGCCTGGGGCAGCACCTTATCGGGGAGAACAAGCTGAAAGGTCAGAGCTCCTCAGCATCCCCTCAAACACCAGCCAGCACCTGGGCATGACACAGTTGTGCTGAAACCCCAGTTGAGGTTGCCCTTGCCCTTGAATGTGCCTTTGGTTTCGCTCTTCTCAATTTGTTTGGCTGCCCCTTCACAACAAAGGCATTTTTCAGAAGGAAAGCAGACATCCTTGGGTGGTGACTCAGAAAGGCTCAGAAATACAGTCACACATTCTGCATGCTGCTCTCGATGGCTTGCCACAGGACATGTAGGAAAACAGCTGAGGGGCACATACTACCATAGTGAACGCTTACATGCCGCACGCCATGCCAAGTAGCATTATCTCATGTCATGAGAGGACTACTGCCATTATCCCCATTTTAAAGATAGGAAAACTGAGCCTCAAGGAGTAACTTGCACAAGATCCCACGGCTGGTTAGGGACAGATCCAGGTCTCCTCCCTGCTCCTGATCACCATCCATTTGCCCCTATTACACATAACTAGGAAATAGTGATGGCACCCTAGAGAATCATGTCAGGAAGGCCAAGGCCAGGATGGGTTTGAGTTTATGAAAATATTAAGAAAAACAGAAAAGTCTTTTTATGTTTCAAGTAAGAACCAAAGGGCTAGGAGCAGATGGCATAGGGGCTACAAAGGGCAAATGTGTAATGAACTCCTCAACCCCTATATCTGTCTTTTCAGCAAAGATGAGTCTTTTACTTGGATAGGGGAACGGGGCCTTTGGGTTCTTTACTGACAGTCCCACTTTACTGCTCTAAAGCAGTGGTTCTTTACATTCATGGTCCCCAGACCAGCAGCATCAGCATCACTGGGAACTTGTTAGAGACGCACATTCTCAGGCCCACCCCAGACCTGGTGAATCAGAAACTCTAGGAGTGGGGCCCACCAATCTGTGTCTCAGCAGTGCTCCAAGTAATTTGCATGCACAGCGTTATGTTTGAGAACCACTGCTACCCACAAAGTCAAAACCAATGAACCTCCCAGGGGCAAACTTGCGGTCAGACCACTGAGCAGCTGGCCATGATCTTCTCCAAATCATGCAGAATTAGAGAAGGGAATCAGGGACAGGCAATCTCTGTCCCAATTTTCTAAACAGGAGGAAAGGATGGACAATGGTGAGCTTAATGTCAACACCAAGCTAGAGTTTCAAATAGGTTACCAATCCCATGGCTGATGAATGCTTAAAGATGGAGAAGTAGAACTGGAAGATACCTGGGCACACTGTTCTGATGTTCCTTTGTGAGGCAGGCAGCAGACAGGTAGACCAGGGATTAGTATAGTCATTTCACATCTGGACGTAAGTCAGCTACCTTGACAAAGCAACTTGACGGACAGTTTAGGGAATCGAAGGGGACAAATGTTGACTTCTCAGAACAACCTGATAAGATAGATATTATTTTCCTCTCCTTTCTACTCATAAGGAAATTAAGGCTCAGAAATGCAAAGTAAATTGCCCAATTGGAATTTACAGAACATCAACATATGAGTCTGGGGGAAAGGGAAAATTCAACCCGTAACAGCTGGGTTAGATGGCCTCCCTTCCCACGCTGAGATTCTCTCATTCAACACATCTGAGTCTCTGCTCGCACGGTGTACTTATGAAATTTCTGCCTATCTGAGGCAGTGAGCAGAGAAAGGGGAGCATGTTTCTGAAACCCAAGCAGAAGGCCTGCCCTTCTGTAAATTGCAGATGAGGAGAGGAAGGAAGCTGGGATTCAAATCCACGTATATAGGCATCAGTGATCTCTACTATCTCCACTGTGACCTCCTTGTATCCTTGACAGATAGTTTAACCACTATGTGCTGACCATTGACACCCAAAGGATGCTAATTAGATTAATGTGGACCACAGAGAGACCTCTCTGAACCAGCCACGGGGCTTGGTGTCTGTCCCCATTTTTACCAATAACTTAAATGACAGCATCAGTGGTCTGCTTAGCACATTCACTGGTGATGTGACTTTTGGGGGATTCTCCATATTTGGGGTCTCAGAATTAGAACCAACTCAACCAAAGAGGAAAAAGTTTGACATGGACAAATGCAAGATTCTGTACTTAGGTTCAAATCATGTATACAAGTGCAGAGAGATGAACAGCACCAACCATCAGTGGGTGTGTGGTTGCTCAAAAGGATAACATGGTCTTGGGTCACAGCAATGAATGGATAGCATCTCTGAGAGTCAGGGAGGTTGGCGATGGCCTTGCTTTTCTCTGCCTGGCCAGATCCCACTTAGAGAATCACATTTTTCTTTAGGTGCCAGGCCAGAGAGGGGCCACAGTGGCAGAGAAATTTGGAAGCTGAGAGGTTTTGAGAGAGAAGGTTCCAAGGAACAAGAGAGTTTTATTTACTCAGCAAATACTCTTTAGGCACCAGTAGGCTCCAGCCCTGTGCTGGGGGAATAAAAAAGTCAATAGAACAAGGCTCCTGCCCTCCATTGGCTCATAGATTTGCTCTGTGAGGCTCCAGGTGTAGAACTAGGGTTGGGGGAGGAAGCCAGATTCCTTCCGGACGCTGGGAAGAATATTCCAACAAATAAGATCATCTGAAATGGGCTTGGCTGCCTCTTAAGAGGTGGTGAATTCAGCATCTTTGGAGATATTCAGGCAGCAGCGAACCCCCCATTACTGAGGTGGTGGAGAGGAAATCCCTGTCATACAGAGTTGGCAGATTAGCTCGCTAATCAGGGCTACCGTAACAGCGTCTCACAGACTGGGTGGCTTAACCGACAGAATGTATTATCTAGCAGTTCTGGGGGCTGGAAGTTCAAAACTCAGGGTTCAGCGTGGTTGGTCCCATCTGAGGGCTGTGAGGGAAGGATCTGCACCAGGCCTCTCACCTTGGCTTGCAGATCGCCATCTTCTTGTTCCCATGGCCTTCTACCTGTATGCCTGTTTCCAAATCCCCCCTCTTTGCAAGGACATCAGTCATATTGGATTAAGGCCCACCCTAGTGACCTAATTTTAACTTCATTACTTCCGTGAATACCCTCCCTCCAAATACAGTCACATTCCAAGGTACTGGGGGTTAAAACATCAACATATGAGTTTGGGGGAAATGAGAAATTCAACCCATAACAGCTGGGTTAGATGGCCTCCCTTCCCACTCTGAGATTCTCTCATTCAACACATCTGAGTCTCTGCCCCCACAGTGGACTTACAAAATTTCTGCCCATCTGAGGCAGTGAGTAGGGAGAGGGGAGCATGTTTCTGAAACCCAAGCAGAAGGCCTGCCCTTCCGCTCTCACCAGCAGCTGGCAGGGCCCGGCCTCTGGTGCCAACAAGGCGGGCTTCAGCTGCCCCAACCTGAGCAGCTCACCCAGGGGCCCCTGGCTCTGCTGGCCTGTGGGGTGGCACGGAGCCCTGGCTGGCTGTTGGCTAGGAAGGTGAGCAATGGAGTGGAAGGACACTGAGGCAATTGAGTATGGCCTCAGGCAGCTGGTGGTGAATGGCTCTAATTTAATTACAACATCGAAGGAGGCTGCGACCCACAGAGACGGTGGCCCCTCAGGCAGGAAAGCAGCCCTGGGTGCAGACAAGGCCTGTGAATTGGTGCTTAATTAGGCACCAGGAGCCTAATTAAGGCTTTAGGATGGCACTGATTCAGCTTGCCTCTGGCCAGGGCCAGAGGGGCCAGGTCAGCAAAGCCAGCCCTGCTGCAGAGACTTGAGGGCCCAAGGTGAGAGAAGAGTAAGCAAGGTGCAAAAAGATAGGGAGAGACCAGCACAGGTTGCTGGTGGCTCCTCCCAGACAGGACCATGGCAATCCAGAGAGTGTGTCCCTAGGGCTGGTCCCTTCCCTGTGCTGGTCCCAGTCTCCTCCGGTTGACAGAGGGTGAGGTGAACTATCACCTTTTTGGAAGCGTGCTCCATGAAAGAGAAAAGGAGGGACGTCTGTGATATTAAGGCATAGGTGGCTCCCGGCATTTGTGTGTAATGGATTCTCTCTCTCTCCAATTTTTTTTTTAAATAGCAATGCAGATAGTGAAAAGACATCCAAATTGGATTAAAGGATTTAAAGTAAAAAGCCAACTCCGCTCCGCACCCCCTGTCCTCCTCCACAGAAGCAAGCTGTTAAACCTGCTTTCTGTGTGTGGATCCTTCCAAAAATAACCCCTTTTTACACCTACGGAACGTGGTTTAAGTACTGCACCTTGTTAAATTCTGGAAAGTATTCCCTATTGACACACACCACCTCATTCTCCTTCACAGCTGACTGGCAGTCCACTGTGTGTCTGGACCATAATTTATGTAAGCAGAAGCCATTGGCGGGCATTGAGGGTGTTTCCAATTTTTTGCCAGTATAATCAATGCTACATCGATCACCCTTGTGCTGATATCTGCAAACATATGCACATCTATAGGTTTTGCTTTTCAGAAGTCTTTGCCAATTTGCATTGTTAATTTTTATAGTTACTGCCAATTACCCTCCCTAGAGGTAGGTATCGATTCATATCCTCACCTACAATTATGGAAAATACCTGTTTTCTCTTAACCTCACCAATGGGTGTATTATCAACATTAGTTATATTTACCAATCCAATGAAAAGTGGTATCTGATTGTTGTTTGAAATTGGATTCCTTTGATTATGAATGAGATTGAATATAATTTTGTTTCTTTGGAGTGGCATCGATTGAAACTCCAGAATCCAGCCAGAAGGCTTAAGCCCCCAAGAAATGGTCTTGCTGGACCTCCTGCTGGGCCACAGGGGACAGAGATGATACCTGGGCATGAGCAGTAGTCTCACCACTCCTGGCGGGGCCCGCCATGTAGCAGGAAAAACCCCCAGTGCCATACCTTTCTCCTTTCTTTTGGTAACTTGCTGTCTAGGATGGTGTGAGCCTGCCTTTCCCATGTGCAGTCCTGGCAGCTGCCTAAAAGGGCTTGCAGTGAAGCTGGGGTCATTTATCTCTCCTGATAATGTCCCCAGAATGAACCTCTAGCCTCTGCTTGCTGCTTTTCATTCACTGCTCTATTAAAGATTTGTGAGGTGCCCACTTTATATATGTGCCATGCTAGGATCTGGAGTTATACAGAAGCAGGAAGTCAGTACATTTGCTTATAGAATTTAAAACTGTAGGGAAGGAAAAGAAAAGTAAACAAGTAATTCCAGTGTAGCGTGATAGGTGCTTGATAGGGGAAGAACAACATACCGGACACAAAACCATCCAGGGAGGTCCAGGAGGCTTCCTGCAGGAAGTGGCTTCAAAGCCAAGACCATAAGAAGGGACTGCTAGCCAGGACCACATAGGACGTGTCATGGAAGAAACTAAGATGTTCCTCGTGGCAGTGTGGCTGTGCACACTGGGTACTGGGAGAGATGTGCAGGCCCAGATCCCAAGGGCCTCACAAGCCCGATGGAGGCTATCAGGTTTTATGCTGTGGACTCCAGGAGTCACTGGAGAGTTTTCAGTGGCATGTCCATATTTGAGGCTAGCCTGGCTTACTTGAGCAAGAGTGTTGGCTTAGGCAGGCAGGGAGGCCTGGGGATCTGGAATTAGACTCAGCATCCCCATGCCTTGATCAGCCTTTCCCAACAGCCCCAAATTCTAAGACGAAGTCCTCAGCTCTCCAATACTGCAGAGATGGTGTCTCATTCTGAGATATCCTGCAGCACACCAGAGGCCTCAACAGTGTTCCCAAAGAAAGGACAGCCGTGGGCTGTAGGGCCCCTGGATCACGGCTGAGGCTGCCAATGCAGAGGACAGGAGAGCAGGAGCCCGAAAGTTCTGTTCCCAGCTTTGCTGCTGATCGTTCACAAAGCATCACTGAGTCTCCCTTGATGACCACCTGTGAGGCATTCCTGCTCCTTAGGGACATCATCAGCTTTATCCCACAGTGCTTTTAGCTTCTTGGAGGAAGCCCTTTTGGTCCCCTTTTCCAACAGTGACAGCCACTATTCTTTCCACATACCCAGCCCAGGAACCCAGGGAAAAAGACAAATGTGCTTTGGAGATGATTTTGGCAATCCTCATTGATTGCTGTCCGTGCTCATAAAATACGGTGCTTAATTGTCATGGCATTTGGGGTAGCCAATTTGAAAAATAATTACTGCCTTCTTTGAGATTACTTTGGCTTCTAATTAAAATCTCAAGACTGGGATATTAAAGGTGCACTGTCAATACAACGTCCCGGATGCACCCAGCTAACCTCATTTGGGAAGGCAAAATTAATTAGTTTGTGTTTTAACACCCAGCTGTTATCCTAAGGAAAGGAATAGTCTTCAAGTCGGCCATGCACACAGTCTCTAAATTGGCCAGAGCAACGGAGGAGAGATAAAGGAAATCGAGAGTGATTTGTTCCTGTATAACTCAGTCAGCTTCTATTACAAGCTGCTCGTTAAGTGGCGCTCCCGTGTCCCTGTCAGACATCGCTCAGGAGTTCTTGTTTACCCGTGGAGGCAGAATCGGAAATAAGTGGGTCCCTCTGTGCCACTGAGCTCTGGATTCATTCCGGAGCCTCATTTGCTGTTAACACCTTTTCCAGTTAGCAATTCTGGGTGAAAAGCCTGGCCCCAGATCTGAGAGGTTGGGCATTTCTATTCCTGTCCCAGCTGGCCGCAGTTACAAAGCTGTGTGCACTGCTGGCTTCCTCCTTTCTTCTTACCTACATCTTCCCATTTTTCAATTCCATTTGAGTCAAATGTTTGCTGAGTGCAACGGAAGTCAGGATAATCAATCCTAGGCTATGCTACAGTAACACACCCTGAGACTCCAGCACTTTAGCACAACAGAAGTTTATTTCTCACTCACTCGCAAACTGTGATGTGAGCTGGCAGGGGCTCTCTTCCAATCAGGGATTCGGGGATCTAGGATTCTTCCATCTTAGGCTGACATCTTCTGACCAGGAGACTTTGAAGTTCTCCAAGGCAGGGGAAGAAGAAGTGGGAGAGCCTGCTCTTGAACACCAACCAAGAAAGTACACATTGTCTTTGTCGCAGGCTATCGGGCCAGAACTAGTCACTTGACCCCAGCCCAGTTACCAGAGATGCCAGGAGATGTTTGTTGAGTGCTGCCGTCTCTGCAACAGTGCTTTGGACCCAGCATGCACTGAGCAAGATGCCTTTGAATCCTACTACAAAGGGGTGTAAGGTGTGGTCCCTGCGCTTGGGGAGACCACAGTACAGTTTCATGTTCCCCTTCTGGAAAGCATCCCTTCCGTCTCTAAAATGACCATTCACTTCTTCCGCAGTCATAGTTCTTGAGGCCCTCAGCACAGAGGCAGCAGGACCAACGACCTTCCCAGGAGCCCACAGATCAGCGGGAAAGGCAGGTGTGCACAATGCATAAGACTGGAGCCAGGGAAGGACACTGGTGCACGGGTGACCACAGCTGCCCAGAGACAGGGCAAAAGTGCAAAGGAGTGTTGATCTGAGCCTTGATAGGAGGAGGTGCCATGAAACAGCATAGTAATGAATTTTCAGCCTGGGCTGCTAAGCACAATAAGAGAAGTAGAAACAAAGCTGATGGTAATCATCTGGAGGTGGTTAACAGTCTGACTGGGGAGATGACAGTAGAACAAAGGCAATATTTCCAGGAAGACAGGATGCACGTGCTTAGTTTCTGGAGGTGGGAAAGAGAGTTCACCACAGGGATCAGTGGGGAAAGGCATCTAGGCGAGCACCCAGCACGTGTGGAGGCCCAGCACACGCCTGAGTAACCTCAGAAGCACCTATGGGCCACTTGGACGTTTCATCGCTGATTCGATTCCTCTCTCCCCCTTTCTGGTCATAACATTGATGGCCTGAAAAGAAATTCATTTCTGAAAGCCTTCCCCTACTAAGACCTTGCTATCAGAAAATAAACAAACCATTGTTTATCTGGCCTGTGTTAGGGCTTGAGTTCACTTAGGAAGTAAACATCGGGGTGATGTTTCATGCAGGGACACCGTGGTGGCTCGACGATCCCTGGGTAACGTCAGCCCACAGCTGCAGCCAGCTCATTCCCAGCCTGGGGAGTTGCCATGGGGTGAAAAATGCTCAAGAACCAGGAGCCTCAGATGCCTGTGTTTTATCCAAACTCTGTCTAACCAGCTGTTTGAGAAGCTTGTCTCTTCTCAAGCAAGTCACACTGGACTCCCGCGTTTTCCTTTCTAAAATGACAGAAGGGGACAAGTTCAGTCTAGGAGGCCCATGCGTTCACCACACAGACATGGCCTGTGGGATCACCCAGTAAGGCCTCACATGGTGTTGTTTTGTTTTGTTTTTGAGATGGAGTCTCGCTCTTGTCACCCAGACTGGAGGGCAATGGCGCAGTCTTGTTTCACTGCAACCTCTGCCTCCCAGGTCAAGCGATTCTCCTGCCTCAGCATCCTGAGTAGCTGGGATTACAGGTGCATGCCTCCACGCCCAACTAATTTTTGTATTTTTAGTAGAGACGGGGTTTCACCATGTTGGCCAGGCCAACTCCTGACCTCAGGTGATCCGCCCGCCTCAGCCTCTCAAAGTAAAATTTTAATTAGTTGCCAACATTTAAAAATTTGGAGAATTTGCATAAAAATCCTGATTTCTAATACAGAAAAAATCTGAAGATCTGGGACCACCATACTCAACAACAGTAAGACTGGCTACCCGTCACGATGCCCCAGTCCTCACCATTCCCCACTGCCTTCACAACACTGAGGCTGGGTGTTCGTTTTTCTTACACATGTCCCAAATCCCAGCTTGCTCAGTCACGTGCCCTGCAAGGCTGCTGAGCTAACTGAGCTCCCCAGTCCCAATCACCTTTAAAACTCTATGACTATATTCCTGACACTTCTTCTTTTTCTCTAAATATATCTCATTCTTGGGTCCTTTTGGCAGAACCACCCACCAGTCATCACAGGAGTTCTTAGGCGTAGCTGCACATTTGAATTACTGGAGGAGGCTGTGAGAATCCCAGTGTCTAGGCCACACATGGTAGTGAGATCCAGGCAGCTTTTAAAGCTCCAGATGATTCCAGTATGTGGCGTAGGTTGAGAACTTCTGCATTAGAGCTGAAAATGCAATGGGCTAGTTTAGGAGGGGGTGAGCTCCCTGTTATGGGACGTAGTTAAGCCAAGGTGCATGAATACTTTGCAGGGATCTGTGAGAGGATCTCAGCATCAGCTGCTGCTCTTCTGAGATTCTTCTCCTCTTTACAGTCCTCCTGCCTTTGCCCCTCAAAGCCTCCCAAGCTTAGCTCCGTTGAGCGTAGATGCTGCCGAGGTGGTCTAGGCAAGGGCTCCTTATCCAACAAACCCCAAGCTCAGCATCAAACATCCCCGAGCCAGCACCATTCCTCCTGCCTCCTACATATTAGCTGATGACTAAGCAAAGGGCCGTGTGGGGTAGTCCCAGGACAATCACATTAGACCAACCACATTCCTAGCCACCCACCTATCTGTTGGGTCTGCTTCATGAAGGTGAAAGAACAAGGACTTGGGGTCAGAAGGCCTGAAAGGAGGACCTGGCTCTTCCCCTTGCCATCTGAGTGTGTTGCTCAATCCTCGTGCCCTGTGTGGAGCCTGGGTCTGAAGTGTGGGCCTGAGTCGAGGACACGCTGTAAAGTGGTAGGTGAGGGTAAGATGCTGAGAGAGGGCCAGATCTCAGCTGGGTGATACAGAGGGAAGGGAGGAGCTGTGCAGTGTGGTTAGGAAGGTTTGGAGAGAGAGAAAGGGGCATGAAATGGGCCTTTCAAACGAGACATTTAGCCCAGAGCTCAGAGCAAAGTGGAGACATGGGCCAGTTATCTAATAACCCTGATCACAACGCAGCCTCCTAAAAATTCCAAGGCATCTTGGGAGTTCTTGAGAGTGGCACCAGTTCTGTACGTGGCCAGTGGGACACCCCACCCATAGTCTGCCCCTCACATTCCCAGAACTTCTTGGGGACTGGTACCACCCCGCCCCAGCCCTCTACCCCACCCCATAGAAAATTGGCTGTGTTCCCCTGGAATCACAAATATAAGAGGAAAAAGCCCCAAAAATATATATCTCTTCTGGGAAGCATCCTTTCCCATTCTGAAATAACCATCCACTTCTTCAGCCGTCATGAGCCATAGCACAGAGACAGCAGGAGAGATAACCTTCCAGGACCCCAGAGCTCAGTGTGTAAGGCAGGCATGGACACTGCAGCCCCTGGCGCACAGGTCTCCATGGGTGCCCAGAGGGACAAACTTAGCACAGCTCAGAGATGGGCAAAAGCTCAAAGGAATCTCAATCTGAGCCTTGGTAGCAGGAGGCACAAGGAAATAGCGCAGTGCCATGGTAGCTGTGGGCCAGACCTTCTGGGGAGGGTGCAAGTGTTGGTGGGAGCTGAAGCTGGAGGGTGGCACGGGCCAGGTCTTGCAGAGTTTCTGAACTATGGAACTTGGATTGTATGTGGAGCAGGGAGAGATTTCGGAGAAATGCCTGGGGGGCTACTAGGTGGAGGACAGATCACGGTGATGGGCTGCCACTGCAGAGACTTCTGAGAGAGAGCACAGGGAAGAAATGACGAAGATCTCAGTGTCCACAAACACTTGCTCCTGTTATTTTTCAATTGCACTGTGTTTGCAGTTACCAGCCAGAGCCATTGCCCTGTTCTGTGTCTGCCTTTGTCCCTCCCTTGGGTTTCCAGTTGAAAAATTCAGCTGCAAGGAAGTTTCTTGGCCCAGACAGGATGAAATCAGAGAAAGTGCGAGGAAAGGGGTCTTCGAAAGACAGGCTTATGAAACAACCGCGGTTGTCTAGGGGCCACCCAAGGAGGCTCCTGTCGTGCCCGGGAGAATCGTGTTCACTCCGATTCTGGCCACCTAGGACCACAGCCTTCATCAGCAATGTCGAAGGGGAGATTCAAGTCACCCCAGCCCCATAGTCGGGATGGGGGGTGTGAGAATGAGGATTCTCAAAATGCATTTTATTTCATCAATTGTTACATGATTAGGTGACTCACTGAACTTACATAGGTTATTGATAATCTATAACCTCATCTGATTCACAGGCTAACACCTCCTACAAACACACAAACAAAAAGGATTTAAGGTCGACACTGTGGGATGTTTTATGGGTTTCCTTTTATGAGCTGCAAAAGGAACAATTTTGCAAAAATAAAGAAGTATTTGGGCTTCTAGAAAACCTGTCCCTCCCACCCCAACCTTTCAGCTAAAAGCACTAAATCATATTAAACAGTTTCATCTTTCAGCAATATGTAAATGTTTTCTCTGACATGTCTTTACTTCTGGCCTGAATTTAATGGGTGTGTTTGATTATACAGTCACATGCATCTCTGTGGAGATGTCAACAGAAACCATGCTGGCCTTCACTTTAGTTAGGGAGGGCAAACCATGGAGTTTGCTTGAGGACAGAAAGATGTGAATTGTGTCTGGTCTAGAGACACAATGGTAAGAAATTTGTGGTAAGGAAAATGTCTTCCCACCAAGCCATAAGCATTGCCTTTTAAGGGATTCAGCCTAGGGTAAGTGGAAGCTTTTACTAGAAATAAAGACATTAGACCACACATCAGCATGCGTTCTGAGTCCCAGAGGGAGAATAACTGTGATGGAACGTAAGAGGATGACAAATAGAATGGATGTTTTCCCACTTTGGGAGAAAGTTCTAGATTTTCTTGGAATGTTGAGACCTGGAGGATATCTTGGAGATCACCTAGACTGTGACTCATCATTGCATAAATGTGAAACATTAGGTTCAGCAGAGAGATGTGACTTGCTCAAAGGCACACAGATAGTTGGTGACCAAACTGTCACTAAAACTCAGGTCTTGAGTTACTTCCCCCCTCTGAGCATGTTTCTTAGTCTGTGGAATGCACATAGTCTCTTCCTCACTGCATTCTTGGCTAAGGTGCACCCTGCACCCTTCTCTCTTCACTTCTCTTTGTTTCCTCTCGTAACCCTTTAACAGACGACTTGAGGCAGGAAGCGGGGACTCTGTTTCAGAGGTGGATACACCAAGATGTAGTGAGCAGTCTTTAGAAGAAAGAGAGTGGGCAGAACCCAGCCTTGCATGGCAAACCAGTGTCCAGGGCCCCCAGGGTAGTCACCCTTGGTCAGAGATGGGTATCAGAGAGGGGGTCCTGCAGCAGGGACAGCAAGGAAATCTGAAGACGCTCAGGAGGCAAGGATGGAATCAGGAATGCAGATCCGCGAGGGGACGCCCTGTGGGACTCTTGGAAAGGCAGCAGGCACCACACAAGAGCCAGTGGTTTCTCAGAGGTCAGCAAACTGCTGCTCAAGGGCCAAGTCTGGCCACACCCATGTGTGTTGTCTGTGGCCCTTTCATGCTACAGCTACACAACGGTCAAGTAGTATTGGGATTGTTGTGGCCCAAAAGCCAAAACTATTGATCATCTAGCCCC
Organism: Homo sapiens; assembly: GCF_000001405.40. NCBI lineage: Eukaryota > Metazoa > Chordata > Mammalia > Primates > Hominidae > Homo > Homo sapiens. The sequence goes on from NC_000015.10 coordinate 92,463,721, forward strand.
TTACAGAAAAAGGTTGCCAGCTCCTGCTTGAGCTGTCCACGGGCCTGAGTTCAAGTCAAGTGCTGCCCCTTTCTACCCAGGTAACCTTGGGCAAGCCATTTTTCACCTCAGAGCCCCATTTCTGCATCTGTACCCACAACAGGTTTGTTTTGAGAATTTCATAAACTCGTGTCTGTGACCGCATCCAGGCTAAGGAGCAGTTCAGTTGCTTCATGTGCTTGTCACTCCTCTGTGGAGGGAACCAGGGATGTGTAGCTTGATCGGTCCCTGGAGTGGCAGAAGGCAGGCTGCTGGGCAGGATAAAATTTTTGTCTTCCTGGAAAGGATGACTCACAGACCCATGTTTCTTTTCTTTTTTTTTTTTTTTTTTTTTTTCCAGATACTGGCTGACCAACAAAGTCCACATCAAAAGACCCACCACCGGCCTCTTGATGTATACCCTGGCCACACGTTTCTGCAAACAAATCTACCTCTACGGCTTCTGGCCCTTTCCGCTGGATCAGAACCAGAACCCAGTCAAGTACCACTATTATGACAGCCTCAAGTATGGCTACACCTCCCAGGCCAGCCCGCATACCATGCCCTTGGAGTTTAAGGCCCTCAAGAGCCTACATGAGCAGGGGGCTTTGAAACTGACTGTCGGCCAGTGCGATGGGGCCACGTAGGGTGGGCACCCCATGGGACTCAGTGGCTCACATTTCCTGCCAGCTACACCACAGGCAGATGGGAGTCGGGGTGGCACAAACAATAGAACAAGCAGGCTAGTGGTTTTCTTTGTTAAAGTGTAAAACAGTGACCAGAATATATATATCTATACCTGCATATATATATTGACCTGAGTATTTATAACTGTGTGGTGTTCATCTAGCATTAGGCAGATAGGCCACAGGAAGAAGGTGTGGAGAACCCACCTGAACCAGATTGAGACTCAATCCATCTTTGGGGGTGGAAGGACTTGACATGAAAAGAAGCCAGTCCCATGACTTTGGATGACAAACTGCCTCCTGGCTTGGAGGGATCTTTGGGCTCATGGATGAATGGCGAGCCACCTGTTGTCAGCTGCCCCAAGCCTCTGGGATATGTGGATTCGGAGAAAGCTGAGGCCCAGAGGGGACACTCGACCCAGTCTAAAGTGGGTGCCATTCACGGAGGAGAGGGAGGTTGGAGACTTCAACCGGGCAAAGGAGCACAAGGAAACCAAGCAGCAGAGGCCCCATCAGCACAGAGGGCCTCGTTCCACGAACGTAGAGTTTGACTGCCTAAGGGACAGCACGAATGACTCACATGTTTCAGACAGGCCTCCACGGCTATGGAGAGAAGGCTGGAGGAGACACAATGGATGGTTCATGTTCTGGCTTAGCAAGAGCCACCAAGAACTTTGGGTGAAGCAAGCAGATGACAATGAAGAGGAGTAATGTTCCGAATCATGTTTTTGAAAAATCAAGACCTCCTGTTAAGGGCCCACTTGACCCTAGAATAAGGCAGGAGAGTGTCTAAAATCTAGCTGCTTTGGGTGTTTTTTAAAGCAATGTGAGTCCACTGAGGAGGAAGAGACCCTGGGATTTCACCCTCTGGGTTAGTCTCTGTCTCACCCTGTTAGAATGTCACGAGGGACTGTACTGTCCCCTCTGTCACCAGGGAAGCCACAATGAGAGCTTGAAAGGGTGCTGTCAAGATAAATGTCATCCTTCTTAAAATACATATGATTGCCTTTTTGGGTGCCTCACAGAGCCCCAGAGTGTGAGACCTGAAAGAATGTTCAGCATCTAGCTCCATGTCCCTGCAACCACTCTCTGTTTGCCTTCTGCATTCTGCACTCTGCGGGGCCTTTGCAGCCAGACTGCTGTGTCAATGTTACTTTCTTGTCACTTTCCTACCCTGATGGTCACACTAGCCCACCCCAAGCTCCGACATTGAGGTTTTCATCTCTGCAGGGAGAGGTTCCAATGTCCACCCCACCCCCAGGTACCCGCCTCTTCCCACAGAAGCAATTTTAGAATTTTGCAAAATTCTTTTCCCCTTATTGAGATTAATATTTAAGATTAAAAAAAAAATACCCAAAGCCAAATGCAGTTCCAAATAGTGGACATAATCTCCCAGGGAAATCTGGGCTCGAGGCCTACAACTTAGGGGCTGGAATCACAGGTCTCACATAGAGAAATAGCCAGCTTGAATTTGTTAGTCGTATTCCTTCACCTGATGAATAACAGTGTTTTAAAACATATTTGAAAGGTAAGTAAAAAACTACCATCTTGAAGGTGAAGGGAGTTAAGAAAAGTAATCAAGACCTGCTCCTAAGCATATGAGACCAGATGTAATTAATCAATGGCAATGCAGAACAGGACCTTGGCTCTAAATTAATGGTTGACCGGAAGGGATTGGAGGCGGCAGAACCATTAACCCTACACAAGAACACTCCAGCCCAAAACCGTGAGGAAGGTGATATATCTCTGCATTTTCCCTTGTTGTTGCTTGAAGTCTGTGATTGGGGATTTGCGTTATAAAATGAATATTTTAAAAAGCAACAGCCCTAATAGCCTCTGTGGGAACTGAGTGGTTTCGGACTCCTCACAGGCGGTGGAAATAATTAATACCATATTTTATACATCTCCAGAGCCTTTCATCTTGAGGATCTCAAAGACCGTAGAAGACATTTAATTTCTAAAGCTTGAAGTGCCCCGAGGAGCAGGTAGAATTTCCAGCAGGGCCTTGGTGGATTAACCAAGGCCTTGGATTCCAGAATGTTTCATGGTAAGCACTGTGGAGAACCTACATGTCAGGTTCTGGAGTTGGCCCTGAGCTCTATCCACCAAGCCAGCACCCCACCATCCCTTTGCAGGGGAGTCAAAGGGCCAGAACTCCTTGGGGGACCAGAACATGGTTTTCCTTCTGCCTATCTTAGTCATGGCTCCTAAAATTGAAGCTGATATGAGCTGGAGTGCAAGGAGTCCTTCCACCCTGCCTTCAGGTTCTCTCTGGAGAAAGGTTAGAGACCCCAGGACAATCAACATGTGCACCGTTCCCCTCCTCGGCTTGAGTCCTGCACTACCAAAATGGCCTGGCCATTTGATGGCGGAGCTCCAGGGGCCTTGGCTTTCTCTGGCTCATTGTCCTTCTCCATCTGGGCCAATTGTCCTTCCCTGCCCATTCAGAGTTCAATTTGAGCCTCCACTGCAGTTCCTGGTGTGGGCCAGCTGGTGTTGGGTGGCCCCAGGGAGTCACACAGTCTGTACCCGGCCCCGAGATCCTCTGCTGTAACTGCAGGGTCACAGGCATCCCGGGAGAATGGGCCTCCACCCTCAGCCAGCCCTCACTGCTGACAGGCACCCCTCTGTCACCTCCTGCCACCTGTCAGATACCCAGCCTGCCCGCCATCAGCCACCCGAGTGGTTCCGACCTCCATTCACCTCAAGCCCCAACAGGCCCCTGTCATTCCACTTCATGGAAGAGACGGAGCCTTCTGAAATGAGATCTACCCTGAAAATCTCTTCTCCTTCCCCTTTCTGAGAAACGTCATCCCCACCAGTTAACGTTTCCTGTACACCCTCACCCTCTCTCGTCCATCTCTGTTGCCTCTGCACATCAGCACACACTGACTCCACCTGGGCTGGCTCCTGCCGCCTCTTCCCTACCTCCTCCACTAGCCGCAGGAAGGGCCTCCAGCACCCACAACTGCCCTTCCTCTTGATGCCCCTCGGCTTCCCCCCAGCCTGGCAGCAGCGTCCCAGCGCCTCCACATTGCCCCTCTCACCTCCCAGCTCTCCACGCCACTTGGCTCTGCAGCGACCCCTCCTAGACGCTCCCTGGCCCCTCGGCACCCAGAATGCCACATTCTTGTGTTTTTTTCCTCCTTCTTTCCCAATCCCTCTCAACCATGTATTTATTTATATATGTATGTATTTTTTTATTTATTATTTATTTATTGAAACCCCTACTTTGATTGACAAAGGAATCAAGGTAGATCTGACCAGTATTCCCCTCTCTTCTCCTTGTCCCACCACATGGACATGCCTTACACTGGCGTCCTCTCCTGAGTCCCTCCGCACTCTCCATCAGCAACCTCACACCTGCCTTCAGACCCGGCTGCAACTTCCTAAGCTGCCCCTGCCCCAGCTCCTCTCTGCAACCCAGCCCTCTCCTGAGCTCTAGGCTGGGATTACACCCGCTGGAGGGACACTCACCCCATCTGCTCCCACGGCAGCACCATCAACTCAACAAGTCAGAAGCCAAGTGGATCATCTGTGTCCCCTTCCCCCACAATCCCTCCTTTTTCTAGTAAAAGACCCGTGATCCCGTCAGCCACCCAGTCTGAGATGCTGACGTTATCTTCGACTATTCTTCCCTGTCCTGCCTTGCTAATTCTTCCCACTAGCACTAATCTCGACTCTTTGTCACTTGGACTATTTCAGCAACAGTCTCATCTCCCAGATTACCTCTGTGCACACTGACACGTGGTCCCGTCCATCCTGAACATGCACAGTGATTTTCCTCTCCCGTTGCACACAAACCTTTAAAAGTTCCCCGGCCCGTGAACAAATGTACAATTCTCTATTCTGACATTACAGACCACCGGATAAGGCCCCATTCTTCCTTTACACCCTCCCCTGGTCAGCCTAGGAGAGTTGTTTTTCCTGGAAAGGGTGCCTGCGTTTTACTGTCTCTGTGCCTTTGGTCTTGCTATCCCCATCCCCTGGAATGCTCCCTTTTCTTCCCTTCAAAGCCCATGCGGAAACCACGTCCTTCATGAAGCCCTCCCTGATGTACCAACCACTGGGATCTCTCCCTCTGCTGAACCACCGTAGCACTTTATTTGTACCTTTCTCATGGCACTTACCATATTCTGCCTTGTATTATAGTTATTTGTGCACTTGTCCTTTGACTGTTCTTAGACTGTAAGCTTGCCAAGGGCAGGGACTGTGTTTTATTCATCTGTATCCATCACAGCACTAGGCGTGGTGCATAGCACACAGCAGTTGCTCAATAAATGTTTGTTGGATTAAATCCTTAATACCTGTAGAGGGCTTTATACTTAAGGAAGTCATTTTGCATCTATAATATCACAAGAACCTCTGAAAAATCATGTGGGTTGGACCAAAGCAGAAATCATTATCCCCGTTGTATAGGTCATAAAACTGAGGCCAAAAACCTGCATGAAGCCTCACGGCTTCCTGGTAGAATGTTCATCCAGGTCTTCTCATCCTCACTTCAGGGCTTTTCCTGTTCATCTTTGTGGTTGGATCACTGTAAACTGAAAACTAGCCCTATGCAGAGGCCTAGACACAGAGACCCAACAAACCTCAGCATGAACCCCATCAGCACAGGCAAAATCTCACTCCTTTCTGGGAAGGACGAAAGCCATTTGGGTTTTACGAGTCCTGGGAGGTGGAGTTATAGGACCCCATCAGTCATTCCCACTGCTGTTGTTGAGGGTAGGAAACCATCCTTCCAGATGGCAGGGAGACTAACAACTCCAGGGGGCTGCTTTTTGATAAATCTCTTCATGCCTAATTAAGGCTCCCTCTCCAGAATGAATGGAAGAGGATGTTTACTGATGCCAGTCAGATGGGACTCCAGACATGTGTACTGCCTCATGAATGTCCTTAATGCTATCCCCAATGACACTGACAGCCTGCCCCAGCCTCTGTCTCTCACCAACACTGCCGAATGTCATCTCTTCTCATCTTTATCTCTATTCTTTGCTTCCTGTCTTCAGGGCTCTTCCCTTGGCATTCACCAGGAGCAGAGTGAGCCCAGAGAGCTGAGTGGTATCCCTTCTTCTTGGGTCCCTGAGCCCTGACCTGGAGCAATGCTGTGAGACAGCAGGAAAGGAGGGGAGTGTGGAGTGGGGAGCACTATATGCCACTCCTCATGGAAGCAGAAAAAAACAGGCTTTTGTTCTGGTGGCAGGTCATCCACAACAATGGGATGTTTCCATGGTTACCATCTAGAAGCAATATCTTAGTTGTTTGGGGCTTTATGATGGGGGTAATGTAATTTCTGTTCTTAGCAATCCAGGTGACAGGGCAATTTCCATATATAGTCCACTGAGCCATCCAGCCCCAGATCATAGTTTCTCTAGAATCGTCCTAGCTGTCTGCAGCCAAAGCCCAATAGAACCACCCAACAAAGAGCACTAAAGGTCCCTTGTGGCCTTTCTCAGTCTTCCTCACCATTTCCTCAGCCACCTTTCCCTAGAACCTGGGGGATGGGAAATGGGGCTACTGTGGGCTTCCAAGAACCATGCCAACAAAGACCTCAAGTTCTCCAGTCATGACAACATTTTTAAATATTTAAAAGCATTCTCCAAAACTGACCCAGAACCAGCTATGAGCGGCCATCCCTTAAGGAATTAATAGAAAATGAGGATCCAATGGCCAAAAAGTGGAGGACTGCCATGCAACCCACATGGACCCTAGAGTGATGGGTCCAGGCAGTCATGGGGGGAGTGCAGCCCTCCATTCAGCATGCTGAGGCAAGTCAAATGGGGTTGGTGCAGGAAAACGCCCTTTCAATTTGTTTCCAAGTGTCTTTATTTTCTAAAATGAGACTGTAATGGTGGAGCTGCTGGACAAAGTCAATGAAGGGATGACTGGCCCGTCAGAATCATGAATGCTTAACAGAAGCTGTGTGTTCCAGGGAAGACCACTCTGAGGCAAGCTGTTTTACTGCATTCTCATTCCAGTGGCCTAGGTGGGCAAGAATATAACTCACTGTAATAACAACAGCGGGACAGGTTGCTTGGCTGTATCTTGTGTTCACAAATGCCCCATCTCTGGTCAGGAGCTCTGGAAGGAGTACCAGATGATCTGAAAGCCTGCCACTCAAGAACCTAGAGGGCATGAATGAGACTTGGCTCTGGTATTTTTCCATCTGTAAAATGGAGAAGACACCTACCGACCTCCTTTATGCAGTTATTGCAAAAATGCAAATACAGGACAAGGTAGATAGAGAAATTGGGTAGAGGGAGTGGGGATGCTCAGTGGTATAAAGCAAGTGAAATGTATGCAGCTGTGAGTTTTCAGGATTCTGCTTGTCCAACATCAGATCACACCATTGCCCTGCTTAAACCCTCAGTGGCTTTCCTTCATCCTTGCAAGAAAATTCCAAGCATCTTACCATGGCTTACAAGACCTTGAGCCCTCCTCCCTCTGGCTCCCTGTTATTCTAGTGTCAGGGCCTTTGCACTTGTTGCGCCCTCTGCCTGGAAATCTGCTTCCCAGCTCCTTGCCTTCCCTCTCTGTCTCATCTTTCATGCTTCAAATTGAATGTCACCTCCTGGGGAGCCTGCTCCTTGTCTCCCTCAGCTAATTACTTTCTATTACACGACACATTATCCTGCTAGGTGGTCTTCATAAACTAAATTATCTCATTTATTTTGTAGTTCTCAACCCCAAGGACCCTCCTAAAAGATCCCAGTGCTCAGGCCACACTCCACACAAGTTTAAACATCTCTGGAAGCTGATCACGGACATCTTCCTGGCTCACGGTCAGAACTGAGAAACAATGACATATCTGCTCACTAGTTTATGGTCCACCTCCACTTCTAGGATGTTCCAGGGGTACTTGTTTTCCACAGGGGTCACCTATGCCCTGGAAGGTGGAAGTGGCCCTCCTCCAAAGTAATTGTTGATGACTCTGCCTGGGGTGCTGGCAACAGGCTTGCAATGTGACCATATCCCTGGTGCTCTCAGCAGGTACAGGCCAGCTTTGAATTTCCCAAGGATGACACTTTACCCCCTGCAGCTCCAGATAAATGTCCAGCATTTTTACCCATTAGCTGAGCTAGTGGGTGGAATTTTTCCAGTCCCCATTTGACCCACTCAGAGAATTTCATGAGCCTTGCCTTACCCAGGAGGCTCTTTCCTGGCTTGTGCAGGCTTTAGAACTCCACCCCCTAGCCCCACCCCAAAGACCTTTATGAGCTCAGCTGGACATTGGAACCACTGGAGGAGCTTTAAAACCTCCTGAAACCTAGGTCTGGCCTTCAGGGAATCTGATTCCTTGGTCTGGGGTATGGCCCGGGCATCTCCTGAAGCTCACCAGGTCACACAGAGGTGTAGCCCCAGCTGGGAACCACTGACCCAGACTCAGTTCCTGAATTTCTGTGACCGCTTCCATGGCAGCCCCTCTCAGGCCCCTGGTGTGAGGTCTTTCTTTTGCTTCTGGCTTCTGAGAGTTTCCTTTCCTGATTCCAGGCTGGGCTCGGTTTTGTCTGGTGGGTTTTTTTGCCACTGCCGTTGTGTTAGTGGCATCCAGGTCTCCGGATTACTGCATGCTTGCAGTGGGAGGAAAGGCCTGTCTACCATGTTCTCTGCCTCCCCTTCATGTTCTGTGAGGAGAGGGGCCTTGTCTGGCATGTTCACCGAGGCATTCCTGACCACTAGAACTGTGCTTGGCACAGAGTAGGCACTTAATAAACTCCTGCTGCATGAACAAAAGAACAAGTGTGGATGCTTCAAAGGAAGACTTGCACCCGGCTGACCCCCAGAGTGGGGAAGGGGTCCCACCTAATAGGAAGAACACCAAGACTTCCCCAAGAGGAGAAGGAACGGCTCCCCCTTTCTCGGCGAGGCCATGTGTCTGGACCCTGTGTGAGATGCTTTCTATACTAGCCCTTGTTGGGGTGTTGCACCCATTTTACAGATCAAACAACCAAGTTTATCAGAAATTAAAGACTCATTTAAGATGCCAAAGCTCACGAGTGGATGGTTTGATGCTGAAGCCAACATTGTTAACACCATCTCAGCTCAAAAGCCCTGAAGGCCACTTAATTCTACCAACCTTCAACCATCTTGTCATAAGGTGAGCCTGCACTCAGGAGTGACAGGAAGACAGAACTCACCTTCCTATAGCCCAGACTCCTCACAGGCTACTGCTCCACCCTGGCTCTTCCCACTGGCAAAGCAGATACAGACCCAGAGCACACCTGTATAGCAATGTCAATTGTTCAAATGCTTCCTTGCCAGGTGGTCAAGAGCCACAGCTCTGAGCACCCCCTGTGCCCTGTGCTCCAGCACTGTGGCCAAGGTCCATTCTGATTGGTCAGGGGCCCTCTGTATTGGTAAATACTTTGCATATCACCCCTGCTCCCAGGTTCTCCAGGCAAGAAACTAGGGGCCAGGTGGCCGATTTGGGCGTTTAGACCACTGGGCAAGACACCAGAGCCTCACTGCACTGCTGTTTCTGTGGCAGCTACTTTGGGTGACTGGCTTTCCTCTCTTGTTTTCCACAGACACATCCTCGACCCAAAGCAGATATTCTGTGTAGCTGATGTGTGTACAGATTGCAAATTCAATTGCGGAAGCATAGAGAGGCACCAGAAGAGGCATCTTATGAGAGTCAGCCAGGACTGGTAATGAGCAAACCATCACCTTGAATAGCCTCTGAGAGGTACACAGTGAAGGGCCAGAGGATGACAGAAACAGAAAGAGGGTCTGAGGACCAGAAAAGAACAGGAAATGTTCACTGAGCACTAACTAGACGCTTTACATGGGCTAGATCATTTAATTCTCATAGCTACCCATTTGAGGTTGACATTATTATTATTCTCACTCTGCAGAGGAGGAAACTGAACCAAGAGGTTGATAAACTTCCCCAAGGCCAAAAAACTGGGAAATGGTTGAGCAGGAATTTAAACTGAAGCCCTCAGGTTCCAGAGTGGTGCAGGAAGCCTCTAAGCTTGACCTTGATCTGCAGCCACTGAAGCTGATGAAGGTCATAAAATGGGGATAAATAACACCAGCTTCAGAGGGGGTGATGGAGGAAGGAGCAGTCTAGTCAAAGTGCTCAGTGCAGTGGCTGACACACGGCAGACACTCAGCTAATGGAAGGTAGCTAGCTACTCGACTCAGGGTGTTGCAGAAAGACAAAGCCATGCCAACATTAAATGAGGTGCTGACATTAATTTAGGGGTGTGGTCTGTTCTATCACTATGATCCTAACTGCAGCTTTCAGGTACAGGGAGACAGAGAAATGTACCTATTTTGCTCAGGCCTAGAAACTGAGGCCTGAGATCAAGCCAAACCCACAGCATTAGACTTCGTAGGTGAGTGATCCAGCCAGTTCCCACAGTTGCTGTCCCCACACCTGGCTCAGCCGCCAGCGCCTCTCCGACCCCAGCTGTCACCCGGGTCCACCCAGTGGAAATGCTCCTAGTGCAGAACCAGCGACAGGCTCAGGCTACATAGCCCTGGGCCCATGGCTGCTGCGGCTGCCTTTCGAATTTGCCAGGGAAGCTGAGCATCCTTCTTTGCACATACCGGGCCACTTGGCTCAGTGTCTGAGGATGAGATGGGAGGCAGCCAGGCTGCTGGGAAAATGTGGAATCACTCTCTGGCAGAGGCCAGCCTGGAAGCGAGAAGTGAAATCAACAAAGCAGAGGACAGAGCAAACGAATGAAGAGCTGGAGAGCGAAATGGGCTGCTAAAGTGCAGGGCATTGTCCTTGAATGCTACAAGACGCTACCAGCTCACCTAATCGGCTCCCTTGCTCCAACAGCTTGCCTTGAAATTAAGTGTTTGCATCAGGCTGGGTTACTGCAGGGAAGGGGTATCAGGCCCTCCTTTGCAGCATCAGGGAAAATAGGGGACCTCAGATGGCCCAGGCCCTACCCCTGCCTCCTCAGCTTCCTGACTGAGCAGAGTGGATCCAGCCACTCAATGATCAGTAAAGTGGAAATTAAAAGCTTGCCGGGCTGGGTTGCTCTTGTGATTAAACTAGATATACAGCCTTAAGTTCTTCACCCACTCAGAGCATTAGATGCTTGGCAACTCATTGCTTCTCCTCTGGGGCTGCTTTCTCAGGCCAAGGGGGCAAGGACTAGTTGGTGGCAAGTTCTACTCAGTTTGTACCTAGCTCAGCCTACCTTCTTCACTGTTGAAGCAAGCAGGCATGGCCTGGCATGCAGTAGGTGCCCAATAATGAATGAATCCCTGTTGAATGAATGGATGAATGCTTTCCAGTTTACTGAAATCTTTCATCTTTGGCTACTCAACAAGTAGGCTCCCCAGACCTCAGTTTCTAGGCCTGAACAACTGAGGGAACAGAAATCTCTGTCTCCCTCTACCTGAGAGCCACAGTTAGGAGCACAGGGATAGAACAGACAGCACCCTCAATCTAATGTCAGCACCTCATTGAATGTTGGAATGGCTTTGTGTTCCTGCAGCACCCTAAATGAGTCAAGTAACCAGCCATCATACCTTCCACTTGTTGAGTGTCTGCTGTGTGCCAGCTATGGCATCGAGCACTTTGATTAGGCCACTCATTCCTCCACCACCCCCTGTGAGGCTGGTGTTATTTATCTCTATTTTATGGACAAGGCCCATGGCTTGTCCCATAGCTAGTAAGTGGCAGAACAGGGATCAAACTCAGGTTGAAACTTGCTTCTAGGAATCTCTGCCTCCCTAATCTGTATAGCAATTGAAGCCTATTCATTCGTTCATTCATTCCTCTCTATCTTAGTCAGTTTAGGCTACTATAACAAATATAACATTGACTTGGTGGCTTAAACAACAAACATTTATTTCTCACAGTTCTGGAGGCTGGAAAGTCCAACATCAAAGTACCAGCAGGTTCAGTTCTTGGTGAGAGCTTGTTTCTTGGCTTGCAGATGGCCGTCTTCTTGCCATATTCTCCCATGGCAGAAAGCAGAGAGACAGAGGCAAGCTCTGGTGTCTCATGTCTCTTCTTATAAGGTCACCAATCTCATTCAAGAACGTCCCACCCTCATGACATAATTATCTCCCCACCTCCTAATACCTCCTAATACTATCACCTGGGGGCTAGGATTTCAACCTATGAATTTCGAGGGGATTTCTTCACCCATTCATTTAAGAAACATCAGGGAGTGTCCACTAGACGTCCTGGCATATGAACACCCTGTGTTTGCTCCTATGGGGACTTGCCATGCAGTGGTAGGAGGGGGAGAGAGAGCAGACACAGGAGAGCACTGTAAGAGCTGTTGTAGAACAATGAGCATACTGCTGTGTAGAGAGAGGGAGCACAGAGGGAAAGGAGCCCGGAACTCTACTTGCAGGAGGTTACACCAGAGAGGGCACTTCAGGGGAAGCTTCACAGAGGAGAGGGTAGCCTTTGAATACTTGCTGCTGTTTCCCCAACTCACCCATTTCAATGCCTTCCTCCTTAACTTATCCATTCTCTCTAGGACCATCTTTACTGCCGAATGGAAGCAGAACTTTGAAATAAGCCTTAGGAACGTAGTTCATGTGCCCATGAAGGGAGCTCTCCTTTCCTCTACAGACACAGGCTGCAGGGGAAGAGTGAAGGCTGGGACACTCTGACCCTCATACCCCCACATCCAAAGCTTCGCACCCTTCTAGCTGCAGGGCTGTGAGGTTTAGTACACATGCATAGTACACAACCTACACTGATGCGCCACCCAATAGATCTCAACAAGAATAGGTCAAGAAGAGGTCTCCATGTGTGTGCCAAAGAGTATGTGCTTCCATTCATTCATCCAGCTTCACAGACACCACTGAGAGCCAGCAATGAACTACGCCTGCTGTGGACGTTGTAGGACACACAGTCCCTGCCTCAGGAAGCTCAAGTCTAAGGGGGGAACAATTATGCACAGCCAATGGCAGAATGAAATAAAGAGGAAATGCCAATCCAACCAACTGAGGGGGTTCAGAGGATTCACAGAGAAGGTGATAGATAAGCTGGACCTTGAAGAATGAGTGGGATTTTGATAGTGGGATGTTGACTCTCTGGTCTACCCTTCTGGGAAACCTCCACCCTCTTCAGTGGCAGCAAGGAACAGAAGAAGCATTCAAGACGCTAGCTATCACACTGCTGCCAACCCTGGCCAATTTACAAAAGCCACCAGGGGAATAAGCCCTGCCACCATTGCCCAGCCTCCCTACTAGGTCGTGATGATGCCCCAGGTGAGGCCAGCTCGATTCACGAGGCCCTTGATTTGTGGATAATGGTCTCAGCGATGCCAGAGGAGGGAGAGGCAGGTGCCCACACAGTCAACATTGAGACCTGCAGCCTCACCTTGTTTTTGTCCAACCCAAGTCCACCCCTTCATGCCTTCATTCTCTTTCCTCTGCACCCTCCCCCAAGGTATAATGAGACCTCAATGCTCCACTTCTAATCATAGTTTTCATGGTTTGTTTATGGATCTTCTGATTGTAATACCAGTCACCAGGCCAGCCATTGAGGGAATGCTATAGTTTCCTAGGCTTACTGTCAATTGCAGAAGCAATTGAGATGCAGATCAGTTTTCTCCTGGTGTTTCTGGGGGAGGATGGATGTTTCCAACTACCCTCCTGTGGGAGTCAAAGTGGAAAGAAATGGGGAGCTGAGGATGAAAGTGGTGGCTGCTCCACAGATCACTGAGCTGGGCAAGTGGGGCCCAGTACTGTCTCTAACCACAGCCACCAGCATGGGGTGGGGGCTGCCTGGCATGTTCTCAGCTGCACCCTCTGTTCGACTTTCAACGTCCACCTGTGCTTTGGGTCACCCCACACGTGGCCTTGCTAAGTGGCTCTCCCCTCTTCATCACATCACTTTCTCCTAGTCCTTATAGAATGAGACCCACTCTCTTGATTTACTTAACACTTTTAATTCTACCAACATAACAGAACTATGCCCACACACATATAAAAATAACACTATTCCTTTACAAGCCGCCTAAATCATTTCTAAACAAATACATGTTCATTACTTGTCCTAATATACACGCTTCCTCCAAAATAATAGCTTTTCTCATCAAATCTACCCAACAGTAGATTTGGGTAAAACTAAATTTGCCTACAGAAAAAGTAGGCATTAGAGGGAGCTGGATGCCCTTAAGTCATGACTGGCAGGCTGGCATGGGAATCCAAGGTCACTAATAAAAGGCACACAAAAGTCAGAGCCCAACCCAGCAACCACAAGCTCCTCTGACTACGTCCAAGATGGCCCTCTCATCTTCCCGGGCGCGAAGTCTGCTCCCTCTCATTTCCTCAGCCATGGGCTTCACTGTGCCCAGGCTTCAGGTATAGCGGCTTCATTTGCCTGTCCATCTTGGGCTCACCCTGCCATAACCTCCCCTAGCTCAAGTCTGCTTGTGATTCTTCTCTCTGACCCCACACACCGAGTAGACCCCAGAGTGGCTGACCCCTGACTCTTCCTGGGGAGCCTCCAAAGAAATCATTCCTGGGGCAGTCCAGATGGGTAAAGACAGGAATTTCCTGGGCCCCAACCCCCAGGCACTCCATTCCAGCTGGTGTTAGTGCCGAAGGAAGTGCATTCAAGACTCCAAGGAAAATAAAATCTCAGATATGAGGAACCATCTTGATAGTATGTAACACTGAAATTGCTTCTCTCAACCCCAATCTGAGTAGCCATCAACTGATAATGGAAGAGACACATCCCTGTTACTTGATGAAGTCTCTCTTCATATTTGCTCCCTTATCTTGATTGATTTTGTGTAGAAAATAAGATAAAGACTCAGAGTTTAAAATAAGGCTTTGTCCTTTACCTAAAACCTGCATGGAAGAAGGAGGCGAAGGGAACATTCGCAAGCAGGAGCTGATTGACAATCACATTGCTGAATGTATCAAAATTATGGGCTTTCTATTATGCCAGGGTACAGCCTAAGACCCTCTCTGAGAAGTGCCTTGTGGTCTGGACAGGAGGAGGGGCTTCATGCTTCTCTGCAGATAAGGGGAAGACAAATTGTATAATTTAGCAAACTCCAAAAAGGCTAGTTGAATGGGATTTGGATAACATTCATTTAAAAGGGGTCAGGATGTTTGTCCAGCAAAACATTAAAAAGCTATCGTTTTGTTGAGATTATAGATTTCTTCCTCTCCCCGCAGGTCATATGGGTGCACATCTATTATGGAGTAAATCTCTTTATTTCAATCATCTCTTCTCCGGCTACAGTCTCATGTGCATCAGCACTAGGAAGATGATTTTTCCATTTGGGTTACATTTTTCTTTGTTAAATTTATTCTTCTTGAGATCATTCCACTGTTAAGAATCCCTTGTCCAGCAGCAGGGAAAGATAAATATTTCTTTAATTATCTTATTTATAAATAAGATTATAAATAAGATAAAGATAATATAGATAATATCTACAGATATTTTGAAATCTCACTTCTTACTGCGATGCCTATGATTTCCCATCCTCTCTTCCTCGAGCTCTACTGGCTAAACCTGAGCCAAGTCTTCCCAATTCTTAGAGCAACCTCAGTTGTTCCAATTAGAGTCCCCGGAGTCTATCCTTCAGATATTCAAATGTTTCTCTTTCTTACTAAGAAAATATAAGACTACTCATTCTCACCTTCTTTTTGCATTTTTTTGCACTTTATTCTGCAGATATGTTAGTAAGATTCGGTCAGGAAAACAGAAACTTCTCCAAGCATTTCAAATAAAGAAGGATTTAATGCAGATAATTTGAGGCTTACCACACTGTTGGATGAACTAAGAGAATGAAAGTCAGAAAAAACTACCACTAATTTCAGGAAATTAGAACATACAGGAACCTCAGGAAGCTGCCACCAGAACCTGTGTCTCTCACCACCCAAAAGAGGGTAAACTGTAGCAGGAGGTCCCGTAAGCCACTGGCGAAACCTCCGGCAGGTCTACTGTTTCCTGACTCCCAGGTGATTCTGTCTTGTTGCAGGAATAAGAATGACCTCTGTTGTTCTTCTGCTTTTCAAATCATGCATGGGTGCCTCCCATTGGTGGAGTCCCAGTCAGAGTCTTGCTGGTATGGGATGCCAGGAAATGCAACAGTTCCCAGAATTCCAACCACACAAATATGGCAAAGAGCTTTGAAGGGAGTGGCAATGAATGTTAGTTTCCTAAATCCAGTACATCGGAGGTCCACAATTCTCTAAGAACTATGTTAACAGCCATATATATATATAATTTGCTTTTTTAAAAAAATTATACTTTAAGTTCTGGGATACATGTACAGAACGTGCAGGTTTGTTGCATAGGTAGACACGTGCCATGGTGGTTTGCTGCACGCATCAACCCATCATCTACATTAGGTATTTCTCCTAATGCTATCTCTCCCCTAGCCCCCCACCCCCTTACAGGCCCTGGTGTGTGATGTTCCCCTCTCTGTGTCCATGTGTTCTCATTGTTCAACTCCCACTTATGAGTGAGAACATGTGTGCTTGGTTTTCTGTTCATGTGTTAGTTTGCTGAGAATGTTGGTTTCCAGCTTCATCCATGTCCCTGAAAAGGACGTAGACTCATCCTTTTTTATGGCTGCATAGTATTCCATGGTGTATATGTGCCACATTTTCTTTATCCAGTCTATCATTGATGGGCGTTTGGGTTGGCTCCAAGGCTTTCCTATTGTGAACAGTGAGCAGCTTTATATATATCACCCACATTTTTCACATGAGGCAATAGAGCTCAGACTTCTTAGGTAATTTTGTCCAGGGACACACAACCAACCAGGGATCACGAGTCAGATTTCTGAGCCCATGCTCTTTCCACAACACTGCCCTGCTTCATACAATAATCTAGGAAATTTCTACAACCTATCATGTCCTTCCTGCAGTGCATCTGCAGTGCACTGCCAAGGACAAGTTTCTCCCAATCCAGGGGCCTCAGTTTAGGTGTCCTTATTTCTCAGCATTTCCATGCAGCTATGTCTCCCACTCTCTAGATGTTCTTTCCCAGATGGTCCTGATGCTGGCACTGCATGTCTCCCCCACCAACTTCAACTGAGCCCTAGTTGTCTGGTGCTGTCTGTGAGCATGACATTTTTTGCCTACTCTCAACTTGACATTGTTAATCTTCAAGCTAGAGCACAGAGGAGGAGTCCTGGCAAGCCTCTGCTCTAACTTCCCAGGTGCCTCTTCAGAAGTTCTGCAGATGGCCTTTGAAAGTCGGCTAGTCGCCAGTCCAGTCTTTCAGGAAATACTATGGGGTTTCCCAGGATTATGATCAACTGCACAGGCCACTGAGGTGCAGATCAGCTTTCTCCTTGTCTTTCTCGGGGACAATAGAAGTCTCTCGCCATTGTCTCATGGAGTAAAACTAGACAGAGAAGAGAGGCTGAGAAGAAAAGCAGTAGTAGCTTCATAGATAACCAAGCCAGGTAAACATGACCCAGTATTTTTTTACTCTGGCCTGGAAAGAGAAGGACTTTTCTTTGACACGAAGAGCAGAGTCTAAGCACCTCATGATGTCTTCAGCCAGAATCCCACCAAAGTTCTTACAATCTCCAGGAGACTTGGTTTTCCATTCCAAACAAAGGAATAATTCTTACTCACCCTGTCCATGGGAATTAAGGATGTGTGATGAAGTCCTAAGTCAGAGCTCACTCCCAACTACAGGAAGAGATGAATGACAGGAAGAAATGCAGCACTCTAAACAGTAAGGTGCTCCACAATTTGCCTCTCTGTTAAAAAGAAATGTGAGGGTTTGGAGGGGGGTACGAACAGGAGTATCCACCCAGGGTCTGCCACCACTATTTGGAGGTCATGGAAGAGGACAACAGAGAAGGCCATTCTACAAAGTGATGACTTTTCAAAAGTGTTTAGTAAGTTGGCATGACAGTCATTAAGACTCATGAAAGATGAAGCCAGGTGATCACTTCTTGGCCTTTTGGCTAAGATCAAGTGTGAAAGATGAAGCCAGATGAAATCAAACATAATGACACATAACGACATGGTAGTGTTTTATCAGTGCTTATAACCTCACACCCAACAGCATAGATGCCAACAGAGCTCATCTCTGGGTTCACTCCTCCATAGGACTCTCTAGCCATGCTTCTGGCTGTACCGGGTCTTGACTTTGAACTCAGCCTATTTTAAAATAGCATGCACAATGTGAGGGTCTAGAAGCTGGGGCACAAAGAGGTGCCCTGCCTGCTTTTGACTCAGGCATTGCCCTTACCAGTTCTGAGAGAGAATTTTGAGAACAACATGATTTCTATTCTGGAATTGCTATGAGGTTTCCCAGGGAAACACTCAGTCATAGGCTAGACTCAAAAATGGATGTTCTAAAGGCAGGAAACATTTAGATAGCAAGGAGAACTGTTCTGGATTTATAATTCTGGCCCTTGATTCCTATGCATGACACTAGGCATTGCCACCAGGGCTTAACTCAAAAGGCCTTGGCTCTATACCAGAGGATTAAATAATGTCAAATGTTCTCACATATGTGTTTATAGGGGGTAGGTCCAAGATGCCTAACATACATCCAGAGTAGACTTAACATCAGTGTACGTTAACTGAGTCCCAATAATCTTCTCAACATTATACCAGGGTTCAGAAGCCAAATCCCAAGCGCAAAGCATTGTGTTTGTCCTCCCTTTGGAAAGTAAAACAATAACACACTTCTACTGGGGACGCAATGAAGCCCGTGAGAGCCTATCCCAGGCTACAATCTCCACATACTGTCCCTGTGTCCCAATACACTCCCCTGACCTCTCCATTTATTCTGCCGTATTCTCCATGCAAAATATTAGCTACATTGCAATGTGTTTCTGGAATGGGGTCTCTTATGACTCTTTATAAGGAGGACAAACTTGGCTTTCATCAAGCTTTAAATAAATCACAGCATCTAAATTGGAAAGGAAGAAGTCAAATTATCCTTGTTCATAGATGACATAGCATCATATTTAGAAAAATTTAAAGACTCCACCAAAAAACTGTTAGAGTGGATAAACAAGTTCAGTAAAGTGATTTTTCAAGTTACAAAATCAGCATACAAAAATAAGTAGCATTTCTATACCCCAACAGTGAACAACCTGAAAAATAAATCAAGAAAGCAATCCCATTTACAATAGCTACAAAAATAGTATAATAAAATACTTAGGAATAAATTTAACAAAGGTAGTAAAAGATCTCTATAATGAAAAGTATAACACATGATTTAAAAAAAGGTGGAAGAGGGCACTCACAAGAATTGAAAGATATTCCATGCTCATGGATTGCAAGAATTAATATTGTTAAAAAGTTCATACTTCTAAAGTGATCTACAGATTCAGTATAGTCTCTACTAAGATGCCAATGACATTCTTTACAGAAATAGAAAAAACAATCCTAATATTCATATGGAACCACAAAAGACCTGAATAGCCAAAGCATCCTGAGCAAAAAGAACAAAGCTGGAAACACTACTTGACTTTAAAATTTACCACAAACTACAGTAACCAAAACAGCATGGTACTAACATAAAAACAAGCATATAGACCAATGGAGTAAAATAGAGAATTCAGAAATAAATCCACACATTTACAGCCAATCCATTTTTTACAAAGGTGCCAAGACTATACACTAGGGAAAAAGACAGTCTCTTCAATAAATGGTGCTGAGAAAACTGGATATCCATATGCAAAAGAATGAAACTAGATCCCTATTTCTCACCATATACAAAAATCAAATCAAAATGGATTAAAAACTTAAATATAAGACCTGAAAGTATGAAACTACTAGAAGAAAAGATTGGGGAAACACTTCAGGACATTGGCCAGGAAAAAATATTTTTGTGTGGATAAGACCTTGAAAGCACAGGCAACCAAAACAAATGGGATTATATCAAGCTAAGAAGTTTCTGGCCTGGTGCGGTGGCTCACATCTGAAATTTCAGCACTTTGGAAGGCTGAGGCGAGAGGATTACCTGAGCCCAGGAGTTCAAGACCAGCCCAGGCTACATAGTGAGACTCCCATCTCTACCAAAAAACAGAAAAAATTAGCTGGGTATGGTGGCATATGCTTGTAGTCCTAGTTACTTGGGAGGCTGAGGTGAGAGAAGAGCTTGAGCCGGGGAAGTCAAGGCTGCTGCAGTGAGCCATGATCGTGCCACTGTACTCCAGCCTGGGCAACAGAGCAAAGCTCTGTCTCAAAAAATAAAAATAAAATTAAAAAGTAAATAAATTTTTAAAAAGCTTCTGCACAGCAAAGGAAACAATAAACAGGGTGAAGAGATAGCCTGCAGAATGGGAGAAAATATTTGCAAACTATCCATCCAACAAGAATATATAAAGAATTTATATATACCAGAATATATGAGGAATGCACACAACTCAATAGTTAATAATAATTCTATTAAAACGTGGTATATGTACACAGTGGAATGTTAGCTGAATACAGATTTTTCAAAATAAGACATCCATGTGGCTGACGAGCATATGAAAAAATGTTTAGCCAGGCATGGTGGTGCACACCTATAGTCCTAGCCACTTGGGAGGCTGAGGCAGGAAGATCACTTGAGCCCAGGAGTTCAAGGTTACAAGTGAGCTGTAACTGCACCACTACACTCCAGCCTGGGCAACAGAGTGAGAACCTCTCTCAAAAAGAAAAAGAAGAAAGAAAAATGCTCAATATCACTAAATAAGGGAAATGCAAATCAAAACCATAATGAGATATTGTCTCACCCCAATTAACACAGCTATTATCAAAAATACAAAAAAATAACAAAAGCTGGTGAGGATGCAGAGAAAGGGGAATGCTAGTACACTGTTGGTGGGAATGTAAATTAGTACATCCATTATGGAAAACGGTATGGAGGTTCCTCAAAAAACCAAAAATAGACCTACCATATGATCCAGCAATCCCACTGCTGGGTACATATCAAAAAGAAAGGAAATTAGTATGTCAAAGAGATAGCTGCACACCCATGTTTATTGCAGCACTATTCACAATAGCTAAGATATGGCATCAACCTAAGTGTCTATCAACATATGAATGGATAAAGAAAATGTGGTATGTATACACAATGAAATGTCATTCAGCTATAAAAAAGAATGAAATCTTGTCATTTGCAGCAACATGGATGGAACTGAAGGTCATGTGTTAAAGTAAAATAAGCCAGGCACAGAAAGATAAATATCACATGTTCTTACTCATATGTGGGAACTAAAAAAGTGGAGGTAGAGTGTAAAATGATGGTTACCTGAGGCTGGGAAGGGTGGAGAGGAGGGAGGAATGAAGAGAGGTTGATTAAAGGGTATGAAAATGCAGTTAGATAGAAGAAACCAGTTCTAGTGTTCAATAGCACAGTAGGGTGACTACAGTTAATAATAATTTATTATATATTTCAAAACAGCTAGGAGAGAAGATTTGGAATGTTCCCAACACAAAGAAATAATAAATGTTTGAGGTGATAGACATCCTAATTACTTGATTTGATCATTACGCATTACATGTATATAGCAAAATATCACATGTACCCTATAAATATGTACAATTATGTCTTGATTCAAAAAAATACACATACACACACACACACACACACACACACACACACATATGAAACAAGGCAGGTTCTACCACTGTTCTTGGATTGGCTAAATCATAGTAACTATACAGATATTAAACATCTAAAAAAATAATTTTTTTTAAAATTAAAGAAACTCTTAAACATTAAGCAACATGATGACTTTTCTGAGTTGAAAAAGTCCATGATAAGGCCACGGTAGACTATTCTTTCACATTCTAAGGCTTATGGTACCAGAGTAACAGTACAACAGTTTTAGGTGTTGAGGGGATATTTGATGGATAAATTTTTGTTCTGGATGGTGAGAAAGAAAACTACCTTTCTACTTTCAACACTCCTCTTCGAGGAAGCTTCCTCCAACTGACCATGATCTGTCATCTACAAAAATGCTTCAAAGCTAAGAAATATGCTTATCACCCTCCCTAATGAGGAGGAATAGAGGGTGAATTAAAAAATGCTTTTTATTTTTGCTTCATGAATAGCAGTGGTACAGAACTGTTCCAAGTTCCAAGTAAAAACAATTTAAAATGATAAGATATATGTAGGATTCCAGTCATAGTCATCCAACAAAAAAGCCCATTTCCTAAGAATTGTGGGAATAGGACTGTATAAAGATGGGGATGGAAAGCATCCATTTAACTCTACTTCCTCCAGAACCCCCATTAAAATGATAAAAAGGAATACAAATCCACTGGCACATAAATAATTGGAGAGAAAACAAGAAGAGACATTTGGAAGAAAAAAAGCAGATGGATGAGTGGGAATTGACTTGGCTACGCTGTAAGCTGGCTTCAGGAAAGGAGGCACCAGGTGCCCATGAATGTGAGGATGAAGATGAGACTGAAAACAGAAAAACTGATTAAAAGACTTTAAAGGAGCAATTAGGCCTTCAGGTTGCCTCTCCCCTCTGGGAAACTGGAAGGTGGCTTCTCAAACACCCAACACTGGAAAGGCTGGAGCCAAAAAACTGTGAACACCAGGGACAGGTATAGAACAAGGGCACCAACTAAAAACAGGGGCTGAATGACTATGTCCGTACTGAATGCTGATAGAGCCCCCACCTCCAACCCAGATTCTATCCTTCTTTCCCATCTCAGCTTCCAGAACATTGGTTTCCAGGACTCACCTTCTTGGTAGGCAATTAGAAAAGATTTTTTTTAAGGCTTCTGAGCAGTTCAAGAGGAAAAACCATTAAGATACTGATACCAGAAGCCAGCCAGATCACTGTATACTGAAGCTCATAGAAAAAAAAGAAAGAAAGAAAAAAAAAAAAAAAAAAAGCTTGTGTCAAAGGCAGCAGTGGTTAATAAGCATTCCATTTGCAACTCCACATTTTCCAACCCACTTCCAGTTAGGTGGAGTTAGGTGGAGCCTAACTGTGACTTGATATGACCAATTGACTATAGGCAGAAGTGGCATGGACTGAAACATATAAGAACCAGTATACAATTGTCTGGCTGTCCCTGCTGAGGTACCCAAAGAGACTGCATGGTCCGGATGAAGCAACTATAAAATGATGGAATCTCCATGAACCTGGTCCCCTGAGTGTGGAGTAGAGTTCTATAGAAAACATCACTAGATATGCTGTGTGAGAATCTAAACTTTCTTTTTCTAAACCACTGAGAACTGTTTGTTGTTTATTTCAAAACATAAGTCTAGTCTCTCCTAGCTAACACAAAACCACACACACAGAATTTTTAATCACCATTTTGGTGCATAATGTTAAATGAGTACTCAAGGATCACCAGAGTTCTGAGAAAAGTCTCTAATATAAAAAATAGAGGCTAGAGCATGAAGGGTTGTTGAATTTTGTCAAAGGCCTTTTCTGCATCTATTGAGATAATCATATGGTTTTTGTCATTGGTTCTGTTTATATGCTGGATTACGTTTATTGGTTTGCGTATGTTGAACCAGCCTTGCATCCCAGGGATGAAGCCCACTTGATCATGGTGGATAAGCTTCTTGATGTGCTGCTGGATTCGGTTTGCCAGTATTTTATTGAGGATTTTTGCATCGATGTTCATCAGGGATATTGGTCTAAAATTAAAAACTCTCAATAAATTAGGTATTGATGGGACGTATCTCAAAATAATAAGAGCTATCTATGACAAACCCACAGCCAATATCATACTGAATGGGTAAAAACTGGAAGCATTCCCTTTGAAAACTGGCACAAGACAGGGATGCCCTCTCTCACTACTCCTATTCAACACAGTGTTGGAAGTTCTGGCCAGGGCAGTCAGGCAGGAGAAGGAAATAAAGGGTATTCAATTAGGAAAAGAGGAAGTCAAATTGTCCCCGTTTGCAGATGACATGATTGTATATCTAGAAAACCCCATCGTCTCAGCCCAAAATCTCCTTAAGCTGATAAGCAACTCCAGCAAAGTCTCAGGATACAAAATCAATGTGCAAAAATCGCAAGCATTCTTATACACCAATAACAGACAGAGACCCAAATCATGAATGAACTCCCATTCACAATTGCTTCAAAGATAATAAAATACCTAGGATTCCAGCTTAGGAGGGACGTGAAGGACCTCTTCAAGGAGAACTACAAACCACTGCTCAGTGAAATAAAAGAGGATACAAACAAATGGAAGAACATTCCATGCTCATGGGTAGGAAGAACCAATATCATGAAAATGGCCATACTGCCCAAGGTAATTTATAGATTCAATGCCATCCCCATCAAGCTACCAATGACTTTCTTCACAGAATTGGAAAAAACTACTTTAAAGTTCAGATGGAACCAAAAAGAGCCCGCATTGCCAAGTCAATCCTAAGCCAAAAGAACAAAGCTGGAGGCATCACACTACCTGACTTCAAACTATACTACAAGGCTACAGTAACCAAAACAGCATGGTACTGGTACCAAAACAGAGATATAGACCAATGGAACAGAACAGAGCCCTCAGAAATAATGCCGCATATCTACAACCATCTGATCTTTGACAAACCTGACAAAAACAAGAAATGGGGAAATGATTCCCTATTTAATAAATGGTGCTGGGAAAACTGGCTAGCCATATGTTGAAAGCTGAAACTGGATCCCTTCCTCACACCTTATACAAAAATTAATTCAAGATGCATTAAAGACTTAAATGTTAGACC
Organism: Homo sapiens; assembly: GCF_000001405.40. NCBI lineage: Eukaryota > Metazoa > Chordata > Mammalia > Primates > Hominidae > Homo > Homo sapiens. Next base: position 92,488,030 of record NC_000015.10, read on the forward strand.
TAAAACCATAAAAACCCTAGAAGAAAACCTAGGCAATACCATTCAGGACATAGGCATGGGCAAGGGACTTCATGTCTAAAACACCAGAAGCAATGGCAACAAAAGCCAAAATTGACAAATGGGATCTAATTAAACTAAAGAGCTTCTGCACAGCAAAAGAAACTACCATCAGAGTGAACAGGCAAACTACAGAATGGGAGAAAATTTTTGCAATCTACTCGTCTGACAAAGGGCTAATATCCAGAATCTACAATGAACTCAAACAAATCTACAAGAAAAAAACAAACAGCCCCATCAAAAAGTGGGCGAAGGATATGAACAGACACTTCTCAAAAGAACACATTTATGCAGCCAAAAGACACATGAAAAAATGCTCATCATCACTGGCCGTCAGAGAAATGCAAATCAAAACCACAATGAGATACCATCTCACACCAGTTAGAATGCCGGTCATTAAAAAGTCAGGAAACAACAGGTGCTGGAGAGGATGTGGAGAAACAGGAACACTTTTACACTGTTGGTGGGACTGTAAACTAGTTCAACCATTGTGGAAGTCAGTGTGGTGATTCCTCAGGGATCTAGAACTAGAAATACCATTTGTCCCAGCAATCCCATTACTGGGTATGTACCCAAAGGATTATAAATCATGTTGCTATAAAGACACATGCACACGTATGTTTATTGTGGCACTATTCACAATAGCAAAGACTTGGAACCAAGCCAAATGTCCAACAATGATAGACTGGATTAAGAAAATGTGGCACATATATACCACAGAATACTATGCAGCCATAAAAAAGGATGAGTTCATGTCCTTTGTAGGGACATGGATGAAGCTGGAAACCATCATTCTCAGCAAACTATCACCAAGGACAAAAAAACCAAACACCGCATGTTCTCACTCATAGGTGGGAATTGAACAGTGAGAACACATGGACACAGGAAGGGGAACATCACACTCTGGGGACTGTTGTGGGGTGGGGGGAGCGGGGAGGGACAGCATTAGGAGATATACCTAATGTTAAATGACGAGTTGATGGGTGCAGCACACCAACATGGCACATGTATACATATGTAACTAACCTGCACATTGTGCACATGTACCCTAAAACTTAAAGTATAATAAAAAAAAAAAAATAGAGGCTAGAACAAGTCAAAGATGGCAGCTTGGAAGAACAAAGATTAATCAAGAGAAGATGAAGCATTGAGATTAATCATTTCAATGAAGTAAAATAAAGTATTTCACTCAAAAGATATGACCAAAAATGCTATAAAAAAGAAAACTGCATTCACAGAACAAAAAAGAGCTCTTATAATTAAAAATATAAGAGCAAAAAATAAAATTCCATAGAAGCACTTGAAAAACATTGAAGGATTCTCCCAGAAAACAGGGCAAAAAGACTAACATCAATATAGGAGGTCTATCATCCAAATAATTGTAGTTCCAAAGTAAGTGGAGAAAACTTAAAGGCGAAAAATAAGTATCAAATAAATAACTAAAAAAAATTATTAACAACAGAAATAAATTTTTAATTTTTAAAAAAAAACTCACAAAATGTCCAGCAAAATGGATGAAAATAGACTGATATACCTTTTATCTGGGAATATACCTTTTATCTGGAGAAGTTTTCTGAAGGCAACCAAAAATGCTAGATAAAATATTTAAAATACCTTACAAACATAAAAACACTAATGGAAGTATAATGAATGTCCCATCCAAAACCTAAATGAAAGCAGAAATCTAGGGAGGTAAATTGAGCACTGAGGTCTGTTTTGATAAAAGGCATTGCCAAACTGAGTGAAATTAAGTTTTCCTTTTGTGAGATAACAAACATTACACTACCAGGATAACAGAGGACTAGGAAGAAATCCATTCCATAAAGCTTCCATTTATACCCAGGGGTCTGCAAGGACAGGTGCTCTGGCACTCAACAAAGCAGGGGATAAAAATCAAGAAGTCCTCTTGGAACAATCATGACCAAAAGCTGGCATTTATGTAAATTTTCAGCCCAGATGTTCATCACACGGATAGTCCAAAATAAACTTCCAGCCCTAAATGTAGTTGAAAGTGATCCTGGGCTGCTAAGGCCCCTTGCAAAAGCCAAAGTGAACATTCTCCAGAGGAAGACACTTTCATCCTAGCCCAAAAAAGACTTCTCACAAATAAGTTTTCCAGAAAATGAGCAGCACACAGTCAAAAATAACCAAGCAGTGCTCACTTTGTCAGCATATGTACTGAAATGAAACAATACAGAAAAAAAACAGCATGTTCCTTGTATTAATAAGTTAACATACAGTTACTCTGTCAGCCATCAGTTCTCCTCCTAGGTATTTAATCAAGAGAAATGAAAATATATGTTCTCACAATGACTTGTACATGAACATTCTTAGCAGTGTTATTCCTAATGGCCCCAAACTGGAAACGATCCACATCATTATCAACAGAAGGATGAATAATCAAATTGCAAAATAGCAATAGAATAAAATATTACTCAGCAATAAAAAGGAACAAACTATTAATAGATGAATGAATTTAGATTGTTTTCCATCCTTGAAATCTTTGCTGCTTTCATGCCTGATTGTGAGAGAGTGGAAAAGGAAAGGAAGACTCAATTTTTCTCTCTCCTAGCTCCACCTTCTCCTCCTATGCCTCTAGCCATGGCAGATGCCTCCTCTAACTGGCCACTTAACAATTCCAGTTGTTGGCTTCTGGGAACTCTGAAGACCCTTCAGAGATGCTCTCTGCTAGGGTCTCATTATCTTTCCAGTTGAATTTCTTGGGCAAAGTCCCTTTTAAGGCATCTCCAGGCCAAGTCTCCCCCTCATGACCATTCAACTCAGAGGAAATTCACAACATGGCCTCCCAGCAGCCCCAGTTCTCCCAGCCCTGGTGCCTCAGCCTGAAAAACTGTCTGTAGATCTGAGATGTGTCGGACTCCAGGCCAGACTGTGCCCTCAATTCCATGGATGCCTCTCTAGCTTTCCAGGTGGCCCTTCCAATGGCTTCTCTCACTTCTTTTACCTCCCCTCCCCTACAGTGCATAGATTAGGGCTATGTTTTAATAGCAAATCATACCACATACTGGCAACTCTCTCCCCAAATATCCTCTCTTTCCAGTAGCCAATTTTGATGGTTTTACACTGAGATGGGTGACAGTCTAAGGGTCAGGACACTGGTTTTAGGTCATCCCCATTGGCAAGTCCTGAATAGATGCTTAGCAAGCTTTGAAATGTGAGGGTACGTACCTGCAGTGTTTTAGATTTGGGCCTTAGTCATCTTGCATAAAAGAGAAGCAGAGAGTCTCGTTTTAACATGCTGTTACAGTGACAGTTTATAAAGGTCGGGCAATCTCAGAAGCCAAATGTCTTACAGCACAATCTCTAAGGTCCCAGAAAATAGATATTTGGTAACTTAAGAGCCATGATAATAGCTGATTAAAACTTAAGAGAACTGCAAGAAATGTGAGGCACATCTTGGCAATCTGAAACTAGATGAAATTCCATTATCTGCCCCTTGCCTCTGGTTTACAACCGCATTAAAATCAGAATTCCAGATTAGCAGCGTCTGTGTTTTCATGACATTGAATAGTCTGTTACTAGAACTCTTCCCTAGCCAGGAAGTAAAACTTCACAGCAATGGACAGATGTTTATAGGAGTTTTTTTTACAGAGGCTCTCCTAGTGTGATAGAGTGATGTGGAAGCTGAAATGCCCTTCTTCAGTCATTAAGAGGTTTCCAAATAGTGCCCAGGCTTCTTAAGGTCAATTGCTGAAGTAACTGAATCATAGTTTGAAAAATGGTGTTGCCGGAAGGGACCTTGGACACATTCTATTCTGTTCTGAATTGGATAAGTGGAGAGCACATTCGTTCTCAGACTACATATTCATGGCAAGTATTAATTCATCTCACCACCCTGCCTCTGAGCCTAGCCTCGGCAGTACCCACCAGTGCAAGATGGCATGAGGGATAAAATCTATTTGCCATTACCAGTTCTACCTAGTTTCTTTATTTTATTGGTAAGGAACATCATTAGATCATGTTCCTATCATATCATAGCAGTGTGCTCAAGGTCACGCTGCTGGTCAACAACAAAGACCAGACTCCCAGTTCAGTGCTCTTTCAACCACCCCACCTCGAATTAATGGGAGAAGGAGCCCTTGCCTCTTACTTACCTTTGGCCCATCCCTCCCATCAAGTCCTTTCAAAAACTGAAGGCTTATTCTAGTTGTATATGTGACCAGATGCCATTTTTACCAGAGTATCTCCTGAGCCACAATGCTCCTGCTCTTCCATCCTGAGATCTTCCCCAAAAATATCAAATCAAGTTCAAATGCCTTTGCATGGACTACTTAACTCACAACTTCTAGAGCCTCCAGAGCCATAGCAAAAAGTCAAATATTATGCTTTCAAGTTAAAAGGCCAAACATATTCCTGGAAAAGTGAAAATGGAATACTTACAAATACCATATCATAGAGCACTAAACTTTTGGAGCTGATTACATTTAAGGTCTTGAGTCTAAAAGGAACCAGAGTTAACAAAAACCATCCGTTCAGATGCTCGGCATCTTTCTGAATCTTTTTCTGACTAATTTGCCTACTTCTGTCCAGAATGGAAAGTGCTTGTGGGTTGGAGGTGACCGGGAATGCAGATGTAAAGAAATAGCGCATTCTATTCCTGGATTGCATATTACTATTCCATATGGGGGGGCGAGCCAAAACATATGGTGTTCCATCTGCAGGATGAGGCTGGCTGGGTCCCATGAATGGCTTTTAATGCAAGTAGATTCAGCCTGATTTGGTCTGCCTCCAAAGGAGAAGAAAAGCCAGTGATTCAAATATTGTGTAAAACCATTGAAATTAATGGCACAAAACAAGACTCATTTGTATTCTGCCTAATTTAAAAGATGTCTGCTTGGTGCAAAGTAATGAATTAGTTACGGGGGTGTTTGGACTGAGTATTTGACAGTCTCCTTGAAGGAACAAAATGCCTTTTTTCCATCTTTCAAGCCACCCTCTGTTAAGTTATTTTGAGCCATTCCCCCCAGGAAATCCACTAAGCATTTCGACTTCTTTAACAAGCCAGACTTCAAGGGGTTCACAACACCAGACACAGCTGATCCTGCTTTGACACCCCAAGTCTAGGACGGGAGGGAGAATTCAAGGAGATGCTCTTTTTAAAACTGCCTCATGTCGTTATCTTGTGAGTGGAAGACCAGTTCATGCCCTTCCAGTTAATCTCCAAGGGACACTTGACATCAGCAGGCCCAGCGGGCAGGAGACCTGGCCCTTCCCAAATGAAGAAAGAACTAGAGAATTTGGAGTTAATCCTGGAATGACTGTACTGTGCCTCCATGCCACATGTTGCACTGGAATATCACAAAGGGCACACGTGCAGCCCCAGCTACTGCTCAGTCACTGAACTACACCCTACCCACTCCCGAGTTCCTGGTGATGATGATGGTGATAGAGATGTTGAAAAGCGGTAAGCGCCTGCTCTGTGCCATGCATCACACTACACGTGACGCACCAGTTGTCCGAGTTCATTCTTACAGTCCCTTCATGAGATTGGCACTGTCCTCCCTACTTCACAGATGAAGAAGCTGGAGTTCAAAGAGTAAGCTGTCAAGGTCACGAAGACAGAAAGTGGCAGCCCAGGATATAAACGCCAGTGTTCCTGCCCCACAGCCCAGGCGGAGATTAAAGAGGAAAAGTTGGCATGGCTGTCCCTCTGAACACCCATCTGAGCTGTGGCATCTCTGGATAAGATGGCCTCGCCTGCTGTTTGAAGTACTAGTGAGCCCAAAGTGGGGCTTCCAGGAAAAGCAACTACTCCCCAGGCATGACCCTTATTCAAAGAAGAGGGCAAGGCCCTGCATGGACCTTGACGTCATCATTCCCACCTGGATAGGACCAAGCTTCAAATGATGATCTTCACACTGGTTTTCTTAACATTTTATTACATAACTCCGATCAAGACAGCAGTGATTAAGTCCAAAATGTACAAAAATCCCATACTGCCCATTTTTCCATATGGAGTGAAGGCTTTGTGCTTCTTACGATCCATTCTTGGTTGTCTTAGTTCCATGGTTTTCAAGACTATTTTGGCAACCTATTTTATTTTTCCCCAGATGAAATTAGCAAACAGAATTCCTTCATTTGAAGAAAGCATGGGGTGGGGAGGTGGCGGTGGGGGAGACTCATGGCTCTTCTTCTCCCCATAAGGAGAAACCCTGAAAAGTCTAAGAAATTTAAGGAATCCAACCACCATTGTTGGAAATCCGCTGTTTTAGACCCATTTTTCACCTTCCATCTGTAAATGTCCTGCCAGACTCAGAGTCATGGATGCGTATTTCTTGCTTGGAAGCAGATCTGTGGAAAGCTACCAGGCTTATTGGTTACAAGAGCCATTTTTATAATTGCACACATTAAGCAAACTATACCAACCTAGATAATCACATATGGTGCAGGTCAAGGGGACCCAAGCCTGAATCACTTCCAAGAGAAAGAATTAGTGGAGCCCTTCAGACAGAAGTGGCCTTTCTTTTGTAGCAGACCACAAGGCATGTGCACAGGGACTGTGCCTTGTTTGTTGCTTGATTGGAAGGAGGTCATGGAAGTTGTCACATCCGCTTGTTTTGTGCCTGCTGCCGCTTTCAAGATGGGGATGAAACATATCAGGAAATTAAAAGAAGATGCTATTTAGTTTTCTATTATCTATTCTAAGTAAAACAATAACATATGGATTTCTTGAAAAGGTAAATCAGGGGCATTTTTGAAGATTCTTTCTGTTTGTTTGTTTTCCTTTGGTTTCTTCTCTGTCTTCATTTTGACACCCAGTGTGAGGCTTAGCACAATTTCTTTCTGGTTTCCTGATCTCAGAGCACACACATCAGAGCTCTTCACTGAGGAGCTATTTGTCAGCGGCTGGCCCAGCAGGTGCCAATGTGGGCAAGTTCCAGGGTGCATAAGTAAAGAGCTATGTGAAGTCGAGGATACCCTGCTGGGCTGAGTGTGGTCCCAGGGAGAGGGGCCTGCTTGCCCAGGCTGGGAGCCAGCTCTTGCTTCTAAAAGAAAATTGGCAACAGAGCCCATGTCCTGGAAAACTTACTCTATGCTCAGACATTCATCCCTGCCTCCTCACTCCCTTCCTTGGGAAAAGAGGCCAAACAATGTCGTCCTGCCACATGATTCCTCCCCACCCCCACTCTGCCCTTGCCCCCTGTAAGCCTGTTTTCATCGCCCCCGACCCCAATATACACACTTCCAGATTCGGAACTGGCCCCTCCCCTCTTTCCCACATCCATTCTGCAAACAAGCCCAGCATTCTCCTGCCTGAAGAAAGGGCCTTTAAATCTTTTAACATGTGTGGCTGACATGAATCATAGTCCCCAGTTCTGTGTGTGGGTAATAAGACTTGCCTCCTCTTTCCATAACTCCAGTTTATTTCTATTTGGGGCCATCTCCACAGGGCTAGAAAAAGTCTTCCTCGGTCAATGCAGGATTCTCTCGCCTCCCAGTGACTGCACCTAAACTTTGAGACTTACGTGGTGCCAGTGCAGGGGCACCATCTGGTCCTTGATGTCAGCTGTCAACTTAGACATTTACCAACACCCCCTTCATTCCATTCCTTTATGCCCTGCAGGCTGCTCTCCCCTGCTTCTGTGCCTTGATGGAAGGTTCTTACTCTGCTCTTCTGGGGTTTGGGGTGGGGCTGGCTGTTGTCTCACCCAGATTCCAGGTTCCACTCTTGATGCTTGCCTGGGATTCTTGCCCTTTCCTGAAACACAGTCACCAGTGGTGACTCAGGCAGAGGCTCAGTCAGGCTTCCCCACTCATTGGTTTTGTTTTGTTGGATATGATTTTTTGCTGCTGTGGGATGCAGGATAATCATGGTGGTGTATGGGAGGCAAAGACAGGAATTATCAAGGGACAAACACAGTTAACGCCTTTTAAAAACATGACACCAGTCTCCCAGTGACCACCTTGCAGCAGCCCAAGGTGGTGTGATCTGTTGTCCACCTTCTTTGGAAGGTGAGCCGAGCTTGAGAGGGCTGGAGACAGGGAAGCCCATGGTCATGGTGGGGACAGCACAGGATCCTTCCTTAGAAAGCAGCAGGTGACCTGGAGGAAGAGCAGGTACTTTTGGAAAGAATACCCTCCCCATGCAGGCAGGGCTGGCCTTCCCCAGAGCTCCCGGCCATTTCTGTGCTGAGCTCCTAAGGAGCTTGCCATCCTTACAGCTGCAAGCTCTTTTTACCATGTACTCAGGAGGGGAGCCCCGAGAATTCTAGGGTCCTTCCAGCGACTCAGAGAGTTGAGTTTGCTGCTACTGATGATATAAAGACTTCTAAAATATTTTTTCAGTCATCACCTCTCAGGTATGAGCTTTTCAAAACCACACAGGAGCACCATCTCCCCAGGACTCTGCCTACTAGGAGAGAGAGTGGTAAAGAAGTGGGAGTCATCGAGACGTGAGGTTTGGAGTCAGGAGATCTGGGTTCAAATTCTAGCCATGATTCAATCTGGCAGTGTGATCTGGGCCTCACAGAAGCTCCCGTTGATCTATTTGTAAACTCACAGGTGCCCATAAGACCTGGATGGAAACATTCGTGTGGAATCCCTAGTGTAGTGCCTAGCACACAGTGAGAAAGAGTGACGTGGACAATTCAGCCTGTTCCATCACCACAGGTACCAGCTTCACCTCAGCCCAGTTCCTCAGCCCTCTTTCCAAGCAGGCAAGCCTAGGGGAGGGAGAGGCATGGGCTTCCACTGCCCCCGTCCCCGGGGAAGCCCTGTCTTTCTGGCCTGACCCAGCAGCGCTGATTTTATCCCAGGTTTGTGGAGTGAAGGGAAGGGGATGGGAAGTGTACTGACCACCTGGGGCTGACTCTGGAACCCTCTCTTTCTCCCTACTCCACTTAGCCTATCAGTGGGCTTCTCAGCACGTGTGCTGGGTCACCCAGATGAGCATCAGAGACTGATGCCATTCCTGTGCCAGCCACTCCTCACTGAGCAATGTTACCACCCTTTGCCAAGTCACTGTCCGCTAATGTCTCAGAGTGTCACCTTGGTCCCAGGCTATGGATAAGGAGAGCTACAATACAGGCATCTCTGGCACCGAACGCGGTATTTCTGACGCTCCAGTACGTGAAGCCAAAGACCAGGGAATTTCTTTCCAGAGGCTCTGGGGGAGATGCTGTGGTTTTCCTTGGGGGCAGGCTCCCTCCCTTGCGGTGGGTAGAGGCCACTCTGGTGGTTCTCTTACAGGGCAAGGACTAAGCCCCCATGCAGGTGTCCTGAGGCAGGCATGCTGAGCCTGATGGGCAACTAGATGTGCATGCTGTATGGGGACAGGGACCTCGGGGTATAATCAAGGCAAAGGCGGTCACTCCCACAGGGTCAGGGACGTCTCTCCAAAAAGGATTTTGAGGCTAGCTGATTTTTGCTAGCTCCAACCTGGCCCAGACAAGCCCACAGGGGCTCGGGGGCTCTAGAATAGGGGTGAGGTGTGTGGGAGTGGGGGTGAGGGCATGAGAACACAAAACTGACTCAGTTGTGGAGGGCAAGACCTCATAACTTGGACTCAGGCAAAAGACTGCTATGAGGATGATGGCAGGTGAGAAGCGCTGTGGGCCCACAGCAGAGATGGGCTTTGATGGAAAGGAAACCCCAGTGCCAGTTTTAAGGTCTCATTTTCTTTTGTGTAATTTCTTCAAACCTTGGTGAGGTTTTGTAAACAGATCAGTGTTTGTGCTGGTCCTTTAGAAAACTGGGGGAAGGAAACAACATTACAGCTAGGTAGAAGGAGTAGGTCCAAGGGCTCTGTACCACTGCAGGATGATGAGAGCTAACAATAATATACTACATAGGTTCAAATAGCTAGAAGGAGGATAGCAAACGTTCCCAACACAGACAAATGGTAAATGTTTCAGATGATGGATAAGCTGATTACCCTGATCTGATCACCCACTGTACATTATGTGTACTGAAATATCATTATTTCAATACGTGGGGTACAGTAACGACACCCCATGAATATGTACACTTATTATTTTCCAATTAAAAAATAACATGAAATGAAACTTTTTAAACTAGAAATGAAAAAAGGGAAGAACCAGTGTTTAGCTCTGGGGTCAGAGCAGACTGCTGGATGAGATGGACTCCCCCTCAACTGAAGGCCCCTTTGGTGCTTGTGGGTATCTTCCAGATATGTGTGGAAGCTGGACACTGACTTGTCAAAAAAGTGTCTGATGCAAGTGGTCATTCATTCCCTCCTAGAGGAAAAAATAAGAATGCATATCACTCCATTGATCCACCACGTACCTTTGAGCACCCACTATGTACCAGGCCCTGTGAAAGGGGATCCAAATACAGGGTGAGAAAAACAGGCCTGGATGTTGCCTGGATGAAGCTTCTAATCAAGTGGAACAATAACCTAATCATTCTACAAGCACTGTATTATGGGTCTGGGGAGTCAGCAGAAGAGAAGAACAGAGGGCTAGGAGATACTATAACAAGTGATCTAACTGACAACTTTTATTATTTTATTAGAATATTATATTTTATTATATTTTTAACAGCAGATTATTGTATTAGTTGAACATCAAATGTTATTGGCATTCCGTCAAGACAGCAGCCGACATCTCGTAAATGTGAAGTCCCAGACACTGTTTGGTTTTGCACAATGCTGAAGCATGCTTGCAGAACAGACTTCTGGCTATTCCCCTCAAATACAGCATGGGGCCAAGAGTGGCCCAGAACAGAGGGCTGGGCAGAAGCAGTTAAGAATTACAGGCAGAATTGTGTCCCACCAAAACTCTAACCTAACCCTAACTCCTACCCCACAATATATCAGAATAGAACTGTATTTGGAGACTGAGTCTTTAAAGAGATGGTTAAGGTAAAAATGAAGCCATTAGAGTAGCCCCTAATCCAATCTGACTGGTGACTTTGTAAGAAAGGAGGTTAGGAGGCCAGGTGCAGTGGGTCACGCCTGTAATCCCAGCACTTTGGGAGGCTGAGGCAGGCAGATCACAAGGTCAGGAGTTCAAGACCAGCCTGGCCAATATGGTGAAACCCTGTCTCTGCTAAAAAATACAAAAATTAGCCAGGTGTGGTGGCGGGCACCTGTAGTCCCAGCTACTCGGGAGGCTGAAGCAGGAGAATCACTTGAACCTGGGAGGCAGAGGTTGCAGTGAGCTGAAATCGTGCCACTGTACTCCAGCCTGGGCAACAGAGCGAGACTCCATCTCAAAAAAAAGAAAGGAGATAAGGACATGGGCATGCCCGGGAAAGCCCATGTGGGACACAGGGAGAAGACGGCCTCCTACAAGCCAGGGAGAGAGGGGCCCCAGAAGGAACCAACCCTGCTGATACCGTGATCCCAGACTTGCAGTCTCCAGAACTGAGAGACAATAAATTCCCATTGTTGTGGCTCTCAGACTGCAATGTTATTAAGGCAGCCCCAGCAGACAAATACAGTGGGGACCACCTTCCAGAAGGAGGTAAGGCCCCCACCCAGCAAAGCCCCCTCCTCCTCTGCCTCCCCTGCACCCTCCACTTCTCTGTGCACTGGCCAGAAGGTCAGGCCTCCCCTCCACCCGGAGCAGATGTGGGGCTCTGCCTCTAGAGGCCAAGGCCACTGACGTGCCCAAGGACTGACCGCAGCCCCTAACCTTTCCAATAGTGGCTTTATCCTCCCTGATACCCGATCATCCCTTTCACCAGGCTGACCGTCACCAAAGGACTGAAAGCCGGGTCCACCCTCCCACAAACTCTGCGGGTGCCCATATTGCCTGCCTTCTCCTCTCTTCTTTTAATCACGGAGTGAATACAAAATAACCTTCTGAAAGCCACCAGCAGCAATTGTACATTCCAGCTGCTCTCCCAGAGCAAGGAGCACTGAGCTTGTAGTTTAAAGGAGATTATCTCTCAATTTAATGAGAGTCATGGTGAAAACAGCGTCCCCAGGAAAAGAGAGAAAATGCCACAATAAAAAGAAGAAAAGCATATCCATCCATCCAATCGGCCTCTCTAACACGACCTCATTATGCACCCACTTCTGACATTTGCCAGTGGTGTTAGATTTGAGCTATAAAAACGTCTTTTGAAAGGCAGATTGACATTTGCCATAACCATACCCCCTCCCACCCCCTAAAATTTAAGCACTCACCATGACAACTGAGATTAGGAAAAGGAGAAGAGGGGCAATGACTCAACTCATGGTAGAGGACAGGCTGGTAATTGGGGAGGGGGAGAGGGTGACAGAACATTATGGCTCCATGCTAATGACCTCGTCTTCCGTATCTCGGTGTGATTTCCTTTTTAGGGAACATTTAATAAGATACAGAAACCAGATTTGCTTGAGCTGAATGCTGGATCGCCATGGCAACCTTCCTTTGGAGGTTATCCAAGTCAGGTAGTGACAGCAAAGCTGAGTTAAAGGTCACCCCTGCTGAGAAAGATGGGCATTGATAAAGGATTTTAACAAGACCCAGAGGAGCTGGTATTTGGAAGCTACCTACAGAGGATCGACGAGGCCCTAGGAATGGGTGGCAAACAACATCAGGAAGAGGGGGGCATCCTGCAGGGGCTCCCACCAGAGCCCCGACCTCGCCCTTCAGATCGGGAGCTCCAGCCTTCACCAGAAGCTGAGATTGGAGCTGTTCGTAATTGTTCAATGGAAGGGGGAACAACCATTTTAACCAGGCATCCAGATGGGAAAGAAATACACTTATGCCACTCTACACCCAAGACACGCATTCCTGAAAAGTTCTGAACAAGCCAAATGCTTGCAAATGGAACGGGCTTGACCTTCTTTATCACTCCAGAAATGCTTTATTTAATCTTTTTTCTATTGGAGCATCACTTTAAAACCTCAAAGTTGAGAAGGCTTTTCTTTGCATGATGCTGAAGCCAGAAGCCTTCAAGGAAACAACATAAATATAAATATCTCTGTGGCCAGTCTCTACAAAAATACATAAAAATGAATTTTAAGCATAATAAAATGTGAAAAATTGCCCAACTTTCCTCACAAATGAGTAAAAGCCAATTTAAATGATAAGAAATGAATAAATGCATATTAAAGCAATAATAGTTTTGCTTATCAGTTGAGCAAAGATCTAGAAGTGTAGTAACACCCAGGGTTGATGAGGTATGGGTTGTGGGAAAACAGGAATTCTCATACATTCTTGGTAGGAGTGTAAAGCAGTGCCACTCCACTGGGGGACAATTTGCAAATAGCTATCAAAATAGAAAATGGACCTTCAAATACTTATACACTGCTGGTGAGAGTGTAAATTAGTTCAACCACTGTGAAAAGCAGTTTGGAGATTCTCAGAGAACTTAAAACAGAACAACCCTTTGACCCAGCAATCCCATTACCGGGCATATACTCAAAAATATATAAATACGTCTTTTTACCATAATGAAATGTGCATGAATATGTTCATTGCAGCACTTTTCACAATAGCAAAGACATGGAATCAACCTAGATGTCCACCCACAGTGGACTGGATAAAGAAAATGTGGTACATATACACCACGGAATACTACACATCCATAAAAAAGAATGAGATCCTGTCCTGTGCAGCAACACAGATGGTGCTGGAGGCCATCATGCTAAGTGAATTAACACGGGAACAGAAAACCAAATACATGTTCTTACTTACAAGTGGGAACTCAATGTTGAGTATGCATAGACACAAAGAGGGGAACACCAGACCCCAGTGCTTACTTGAGGTTGGAGGGTGTGAAGAGGGTGAGAATTTTAAAACTACCTATTGGGTACCATGCTCACTACCTGGGTGACAAAATCATTTGTACTCCAAACCTCAGCATCACACAATATATCTAT